>NC_000012.12:115338915-115490431 GCF_000001405.40 Homo sapiens | reverse complement strand
TATCTTGTTCCAAAACGCTTTCATCACCCCAAAGGAAAATCCTGCACCCATGAAGCAGCCACTCCCATTCCCTCCTGCTCCCTGCCCTTGGCAACCACCAGTCTATTTTATATCCTTATGGATTGGTCCATTCTGGAAATTTCATAAAAATGGGATCATACAATATGTGACTTTTTTGTAACTGGCTTCTTTCGCTTAGCGTAAAGTTTCCGGATTCATCCACCTTGTAGCATTATCAGTACTTCCCTCCTTTTTATGAATGAATAATATGTCATTGTATTTATAGACCATATTTTATCTTTTCTTCCAGTGATGGGCATGTGAGTTGTTGTCACCTATCTGCTATTATGAATAATGTTGTTATGAACATTTATGTACAAGCATTTGTTTGAGTATCTGTTTTCACTCTTTTGGGGATACACATCAGGGTTGCAGGGTCATATGGTAATTCTACATTTAACTTTTTGAGGAACTAGCTAATCTGTTTATACACACATGTGGTACACTGCTGGTGGACTCTCAGAAAAACCTGGGGTGGAGAGAGCTCAGTCAACTAAGCTCTTGCTTGAGCAAGGAGGAAGAGTAACCAAAGAAAGTTGAGGTTATTATTGTTATTGCAAACTTCCCTAATGCTGTAAGTACTAGGGAAAGGTTTACACTGGAAATACAGAATTTTCCATTTTGTACAAAGTGCTTCCCTTACCTCATTCTCTATTGATTTTCCTAGTAGTCGTTTGTGAACAGAGAATTGGGAAGGATGTGCAAATTTTCTTGGGAATTTACAGATTGAGGGGAATGTCCTAAACATGACCCTGCCTGTTGCTACATGAAGCAGGTGTTTAGGCAAATCTTTGGTGCAAATAGTTGATGTGGAGTCTGGCACTTTCTGGACCTACACTGGCTGGAAAAGCTATCAAGTGCATGCAAGAGCTGCCCCACACCTGACCTCTGTTTGTGCACAACTGTGGCTCCATACAGGGCGGGGAAGCCACCCGCTGTGGAACATCAGCGTCGCCACCTCTAATTGTTGGGCCCAGAGCGAACTTCCTGACCTGGGAGGGTGTTCTCAACCAGGAATCAGCACCCTGTCATGCTAACTGAGGTTCCACGAAGAACCCATCAAGTTCTTCATGGGTGGGAATCCTAGGAAGGGGCGAGCTGAACACGGAAAATGCTCAGGGCTTTTTCTACCTTCCTCAATTTCTTCCTCTCGATTCCCTCAACAGATGATAAGCTCCTTAAAGGTATGGACCTTATTTTCACTGTTATTTTTATCTCCACTGGTAAGCAAACAGTAAGTGTTTAACAAATGATAATGAATAAATGAATGTATGCATTAATGACTTTTATCTCTTTCGAAGTCCCTGGACAGGAGGAGAATGATATAAAATATGAATAACAGCCTTAGCCATCAAAAAGAGGTTCTAGGTAGCTCTGTGCTTCCAAGGTTTTCTCCTATGATTGATCCTGCAAACACTCCAGGAATTTAGGACCTTCCCAGCTGCTGTTCCTGCTACCTGGATGCTGTTCCCACAGCTAGAGTTCACTCTCTCATTTCTTTCACATCTCTGCTAGATACCAGCTCCTTACAGATGTTTTCCCAGACCGCCACAATAAAAAAAAATAGCAGCCCCTAGCCCTCTAAATTGTTTAAGCCAGTTAATATTTGACACATCCAAAAGAATACATGTAGCATCTCGTTAAGTTAGAAAGACCCAATAATAAAATCACACCTTTGAGTCTATCACTCAACTGAAGAGCTGAAACACATCATAGCTGTTAGAGCTGTTTCTGCTCTCTGCTCTAATCCCATCTGCTTTCCTGACCCCAACTCTACCCAAGCATCACTGCCATTGTGGATTTTTGTCCTTTTCCGTTCTGGGCTTTGTATATTATGTAGCATTTATCAACACCTGATGTATCATATCATTATTTATTTGTGAACTTACGGTCTTTCTTTCCTCAAATCTAGTCTCCATAAAGGCAAAAGGTGTTGTCTGCTCCTTGTTGTGTTCACAGTGCCTGGTACACAGTAAGTCCTGAATAAATATTTACTGAATAAATAAATGAATGAATCAATGAATGAATTAATGTTGGTTGTGGAAATCTTTTCTTATCCATGATTGCTGCTTCAACGGGGGAGGGCAAAGACGGGCATCTTTGAGGCTGGTCTGCATAACTCATGACTGGTGCTGGGCTTCCCCTGGCTCCCAGATATCTGTATTTATTTCACATTATTTTTTTTCCACCGTGACTTTAACTGTCTCCCATACAACCTCCACACACATATTCATCCCTTCTCTGCTTGGTTACTCCTCTCCAGCCTTCAAGACTCAACCTGCGCAGCACTTGGGAATGATTTTCTCTCTGTGCCTAGGCTGGGTTTGATGCTTCTTCTGGACCAATAATAACGTAGAGAATTTATTTTACAACACTTGCCCAAAGAGTCCCCCAAATCTTCCTCCATCATGTCACTATCCTGCTCAATAACCTTCCATGGCTCCTTGTTAACTTTGGAGTAAAGTCTATGTGTCTTATCCTGGGATTCAAGGCTTTCCATTATGTGGTTTGGATCTATTTTTTCCTGTCCAATGTCCATCTGTGAACCACCTGCTCTATCCAAGTTGGTTCTCACTGCCCCATCTAAACTTCTTCTGGGCTTCCTCCTTCCTCTCCAAGTTTATCACCCTCATGTTACAGCACTGTACTTATTATTTTGCTTTTCCCTGAATACCACAATAACTTTATTCCTGCAACTGCCCTTCATCTCTGTGTCTCAGCACCTAGACCATAGAGCTCTTCTAAGAAATGGTGTGAAGGAAATGAATGATCAGGTGACTTCTGTTTCATCTCATCACACACAAGGAGAACATTGAGGAGAACCCCAAGAAATGAAGATTTCTAGCTTTAGTGTGAAGAATAGCTATTCTTCTGAGCAACTGGCTTGGTTTTGTGCAGCTATTTGGAACCACACAACTTTCTAATTCCTCTTTTCACATTGGCTGGCAGGAAGCTGAGGGGCAGATGCATGGTCCATCCTGGCAAATCAACAGAACATGTGAGGGATCTCAGCCTCCTTTTCTGCTGTTTTATGCCCTCGCCATTGATAATAGTTTCAGGGAAAAAAGTTGTCTAACCCCATTTTACTTTGGGCTATTTTTGTTGCATTTTACATAGCATTGAAAGTGACTCGAAGACCTTTCCGGAGTAAGGCAATATATGAGCTAATTCTATTAGTTTCCTTTTGCTGTAATAACAAATTATTGCAAGTTTAGTGGCTTGTACAGTTGGAGAGATCAGAAGTCCAAAGTAAGTCTTATGGGGCTAAAATCAAGGTGAGGTTTTCCGGAGGTTCTAGGGAGAAACAGGTACCCTGTCTTTCCCAGCTTCTAGGAGCCACCTGTGTTCCTTAGCTTGTGGCCCCGCATCACTTTCTTCTCTGCTTCTGTCATTGCATCTCCTCTTCCTGACCCTCCTGCCTCTCTCTTATAAAGGCCTTTATAATGGAATTGGTCCTGCCTAGATAATTCAGGATCATCTCCTGTCTCAAGATCCTCAAATTTATCACATCTGCAAAGTCCCTTTTGCCACATAAGGTCACACAGTTACCAGTGCCAGGGATTCTGGGGATTAGGAAGTGGACATCTCGGGGGTTGGAGGAGGAGGGAGGGTATGATGCAGCCGACTACATCAGCTTGTCAATCATCTAAGTTACTCCTGATATGAAGTGGTACCTGGTGACCTGGGATTTTCATCATGTAGTGTAGTAATTATCTTTCACGAACTCTTAACAGGAACAATGAACAAAAGTGAGAAGGAACTTTTATTTTTGAAGTTCAGTCTTTCCAGGGAAACCAGGGTGTCATTCTAGAAAAATTAAAGAAATAAATCCATCCTGAGTCCACATCTCAATGGCCTCCCCTCTTCCACTACTGGAATTTCCCAGTTCATCCTCCTCGCCCCCCTCCTCTCTGCTCTTCTCTAGCTTCTTTTACAAGGAGGTGCCCTGACCCTTAAGCAATTCCCTGAAGATCAAAACCTGTGAGCTTTCCTCAGCCCAGTGTGCCCCGAAGCTGACATCTCTCCTGGTGACTTAGAAGCACTGCTGACACCCAGTTTTAATTAACCAGCTGAAGAAGTGTTGTCTTAGCAGAAAGTCTAAAGCATTTTGAAATAAGTTCTTGACAATTCAGCTCCCAAGGGGAAGTCCAGCTTGCCTTTCTGGTTTGCTGTGTTTAAACCTTTTGATGACTCCGTAAAAGTCTGACCTTCTCGGGCACCATCAGGCAAGATGCTTGGAACAATCGCTCTTTCTCTTTTGCGTTGTGATTTTCTTCATATTAATTCTCCTTTGTTGCCCCCAGCAACAGTCCTTTCTTTCCCTGCAGAGCCTTACTTGCTCTGTTAAATCCAGTCACTCCCATCGATCAAGCAGATATTTCTGGATGTGGCAATCAAATTGCAGGCCCCGATGGGAGTATAAAGCATTATACGTTGTCTCTGTTCCTGTAGTGCTCATTCCAGGCACTGCTGCAGTGGAGAAATCTGAAAACAAAAGGCTTAAAAACCCTGACTGTGTTTCTCTTACAAGATTGAACTTTTCAGATTCTATCTCGCCCAAAGAAGGAAAGTCTGGGGACAGAGGCTGGCTTAAGTCTCTTGATTCATTTTATTGGCTGTGTACACTTTAGTAAATTACTTGAACTTGTTGAATTTCAGTTCCCTCTTTGGGGGGTGGAGTGGAGACACACACACATGCACGCACACACACACACCAGGGCAAAGATCTATGACAACAAAAATATACTCCTGAAACCTGGCTCCTGCTACAAAACTTAAGTAAATACATACAGAGAAGCATGGATGAATGGGGGGAAAATTATAGTCAGAATTAATGGGTTATGCTATTATTTACTGGCTGTGTAGAATTTTTATTTTCTCTGTCTCAGTATTTCCTCATCAGTAAAATTGTCATAATAATGTCACCTCAGAGCTAGTTGGGACTTTAAATTAGTTCATATGTGCAAAGTGTTTAAATGCATAAGCAATAGCTATCATTATTTTTATTATCATTCTGTAAGATGGAGATGATCATTAGAGATTTATGCAAAGGACTGGGTGGTAAAAGGAAAGCAATAGATGTTATCTATTATTATCATGGACAATTGTTCTATGCATTTCGGGCTGGGTTTAAGAAAATGTGATCATGGTTAGTGTGGAAGATGGATAGAGAGGATTTAAGTTTGCTAGTCCAAAGTGATGGAAATGTTTAGAAAAGGCAAGAGGAACAAGAGTTTTCACATAGGTGGAAACTGACTGGTAGAAAGTACTTTGGGACCATGATTGAGGAGACTGAATTAGATACCAAAGCAAAGATAAAGAATTACATCCTTCCAGCTGAACCTCGGCACTACAGATGATGAATGATAGAAGTAATTAAAGAAAAATCGAGCTGAGATGAACCTTTTCCCTTTTAGCTCATCATAAGCTAGTAGCTGCTTTTCGTTGGTCAATATTTACCTCCTGAACTGAGAAATGGGAGTCAATACTTACTTCCTATTGTTAGTACATCTATTTTCTGTACACTACACGTAAGCGGCCTATACACACAGGCACCAATACATTAATAGCTATATCAATAGAAAATCAACAATAATCATTTATTTTTAATGGTCATCACCACTGAAACACCAAGCAGTGCAATATGCTTAAGACAAAGAAGGAACACTTAGCATGATAGATGTCTGTGGATAATTGATTTAGGTTAACAACTTCCTTTCCTAATGGTGCTAATTGCGTTAATCAACAAGCTGATTTCATCAGAGACTTTCAAAGGCTCATCCTGGAGGTTGCCAGATCTTTCCCTGGTTGATGAGTTAGTTCCCCAAGTGAAGACACCCAACCTCGATTTATAATCATCAGCAAAACTGTTTTAGTGATGGCTTACAGTCCAACCAATTAACCTGTTCTGCAGTTTGTGGCTCTGTTAGAATTCATGGGCCTGGTTAATTGGGCAGATCAGGTCTAGTGCAGTGTATATTTGGTGCTGCTGCTGGTGGTGGTGTTTTGGGCTACCCAGAATATTTTTTCTCCTTAATGTAGTCCCTCAGTTTCCTTTATGGGCAACTCACCCAACTTCATTCCCTGTTCTTCCAGTGGGCAGAGAGTCTGTGTGAAACCAAGAGACACTCTCTTGGAAATTAAAATCTTCAGCAAAAAGATCCAAGGGTAAGACAAAAAAATAGACTTAGAACACATCAACTTCAGCGGGAGTGTCCAGACAAATCTGCCAGCCTAGTAGGTACCTGCTTTCAAGAGCTCCAGGAGAAATTCCTAGTTGCTAAACCTTAGTCCTTGAAGTTCTCCCATATCCTTTTAGTGGAGTCCCTTTTGGCTTATGCTACCAGAGTCAGCTACTGTTGCTTGCAATCAAACAGTCACAACTGGTTCAGTTGTCAAACTGGCTTTATCACCGTGCCAATTCTAATTAATTGATGATGGTTACATGGAGTGTTGTGTTAAGAAGGATTCAGAGAATTCATCCGAAAACTGTGAAGAGTGTAGCACTCAATTAGAAATACTTGTGTAGAGGAAGTGTTGGGGGAGGACCAATGTAGGGGGCAGGGTAGAATATTACTAATGTCAAATACATGCCAGGGGCCTAGAGGCATAGAGCACACTGGTCAAGGAGGGTGGAGGAAGGGGATCTAGAGCCAACATGCCTGAGTTCACATCCTGCTTCTCCCACTTCTTAGCTGTGTGATCTTGGACAAGTCACTTAGCTCTCTGTACCTCGGTTTCCTCAACCGTGCAATGAGGATGCCAGCACACCCTTTGTAGGTTGTTGTGAGAATGAAATTGGTTAATAACAAGTAAAGGACTTAAGATAATCTATTTGGTCCACAGTAAGGGCTCAATAAAATGTTACCCACTACTGCTGGTGTTGTATCATTGTTGTTATACTTGGGGTGTAGATGGTTGCAGCCTGGGCAGTGAA
The DNA here is from genome assembly GCF_000001405.40 of Homo sapiens. Taxonomy (NCBI): domain Eukaryota; kingdom Metazoa; phylum Chordata; class Mammalia; order Primates; family Hominidae; genus Homo; species Homo sapiens. The sequence goes on along the minus strand of NC_000012.12, from coordinate 115,483,434 downwards.
TGAATGCCTGAATAGACAGAAGAATGGATGAGTTGTCATTTTGAAGGAAAGCAATCAATTCCAGAGTAATCTGCAGATTAAAGTCTGTGGCCATTGCCATCATTTCCTTGATTTGATTCTCTGAAGTCATCTTTCTACTATACACCTGTGTGCAATTTGGGTCCAATTTTCCTTTATTAGGGTTTCTATAGGAGCTAAAACTACAAGATCAAATGTTTTTTTCTCTCTCTCTCCTTCTCTCCCCCTCTGTGTTTACCCCACCCCACTCCTGTATTTAAGCCAATGTTTCTATTTCACATCTGCTATATCTTTTGCTTTAAATAGGTCATATTGAAAATGTTTATTTCTAGCCATTTCCTTTTGCTCATTACTAATATATGTTGTTTTGAGAAACTATTTCAGTCTTTTTTCTAAAGCAAAGTTAGTAAACTCTAAAAAATCCCAACTCCTTGGAATCTTAATTTGTCTAATTCTTTATAGGAAGCTTATTTAACAAATTTTAATCCTGATCCAGGAAATATTCTATATGTGCATCTAATACAAATAGTATCTATCTATCCATCCATCTGTCATCTATCTTTTTAAACTTTTTTATGTGTGTATGTTTGTATGTATGTATGTATGTATTTTTGAGACAGGATCTCACTCTGTTGCTCAGGCTGGAGTGCAGTGGTTTGATCACAGCTCACTGCAGCCTTGACTTCCTGGGCTCAAGTGATCCTCCCACCTCAGCCTCCCACATAGCTGAAATCATAGATGCTCACCACTATGCCCAGCTAATTTTCTTTTTTAAAAAATTTTTAGTAGAAACGAGGTCTTGCTATGTTGTCCAGCTTGGTCTCGAACTCCTGAGCTTAAGCAATCCTCCTACCTTGGCCTCCCAAAGTGTTGGGATTACAGGTGTGAGCCACTGCACCCAGCTTACCTATCTATATGTCTCTCTTATATTTATTAATTCCCTTTTCTTTACAACAGCTAATGTTTATTCATCTCTTATTATGTGCCAGCCACTGTGCTGAACACTTCTCATTTGAATGTCCTGAAAACCTAGGAGGAAAATGCTCTTTCCTCCTATTTTACATATGAGGAAACTGAGGCACAGAGTAGTCCACTGACACTATGACTAACGGTGGACAGGGCTGTCATCTGGACCTGGATGGGTCTGGGTTCTACAATGCCCTGCTGCCTCCAAGAGCTGCTTATTTTCTTTCTTTTTTTTTATTTAATTTAATTTATTTTATTTTTTTGAGATGGAGTCTCGCTCTGTCACCCTGGCTGGAGGGCAGTGGTGTGATCTTGGCTCACTGCAAGCTCTGCCTCCCGGGTTCACGCCATTCTCCTGCCTCAGCCTCCCAAGTAGCTGGGACTACAGGTGCCTGCCACCATGCCCAGCTTTTTTTTTTTTTTTTTTTTTTCGTATTTTTAGTAGAGACGGGATTTCACCATGTTAGCCAGGATGGTCTCGATCTCCTGACCTCGTGATCCACCCGCCTTGGCCTCCCAAAGTGCTGGGATTACAGGCGTGAGCCACCGCGCCCGGCCCCAAGAGCTGCTTATTTTCAAAATGTCATGAACATAGAAAGGCAGAAAGAAGAAAATAAAAGCCTACCATCTTTTTAGTAAGTTGAAGGATGCTTATTTTGATGTATGGGATTAATAATGACCATAGCTGATACTTATTGAGTTCCTGGTTAGTGCCAGGCATGGTGCAATGCTTCATAAGGTTATCACATTTAATTTATACATCGGGCCTCTAAGGTAGGTGCTATTACTGTCCTCATTTTGCAGATAGAGAGACAGACACTTCCAGTCTTTTTTGGGGGTCCCAGAGTGATGCCCTGACCTGAGACAAGATATCAGGTGAAAGTGCTTTATTTGGGAGTTAATCCTGGAGCACTGGGTGGGAAGTGAGCAGGTCACCTCTGCAGGAAACAGGGGCTCAATCCTCCCCAGGAACACTGAGAGTCAGTGCAGAGCAGGCACTGCAGAGAAGAGGCCAGTTCCTGTCCGTCAATGATTGAGGGCCACTGGGTGGAAGCACTGATTCAGGCCACTTCTTCCATGGCCTGTGCACAGGCAGAAAAAAACCTCAGGCTGAAGAGTCCAGGTGCTGACAGCTGTAAGTCTGACTACTTGCACTGAAATAGGAAAGTGAAATAGAAACATAAGACTCAGGGAGCTGGGGGCTGGGAGGGCACATGGCATTCACCACGCTCAGGTGGTTAACTTCCTTACTCAAGGCTTCACAGCTACTACCTGCAGCCAGGTTAAAAAGCCAAGTCTTTGCTTGTTTAAATAATCTGAGAGAGTGGATGGGAGTGTAAATTAGTTCAACCACTATGAAAAATAGCGTGGCGATTCCTAAAAGACCTAAAAAACAGAACTACCATTCGACCCAGCAATCCCATTACTGGGTATATACCCTAAGGAATATAAATTATTCTACCATAAAGACACATGCATACATACGTTCATTGCAGCACTATTCACAATAGCAAAGACATGGAATCAACCTAAATGCCCATCAGTGGTAGAGTGAATAAAGAAAATGTGGTACATACACACCATGGAATACTACGTAGCCGTAAAAAAGAAAAAGATCATGTCCTTTGTAGGAACATGGATGGAGCTGGAGGCCATTATCCCTAGCAAACTAACGCAGAAACGGAAAAGCAAATACTGCATATTCTCACTTGTAAGTGGGAGCTAAATGATGAGAATACATGGTCACAAGGAGGGGAACAACAAACTGTGGCCTACCAGAGACTGGAGTGTGGGAGGAGGGAGAAGATCAGGAAATATAACTAATGGGTACTAGGCTTAATACCTGGGTGGCAAAATAGTCTGTACAATAAACCCTCATGACACGAGTTTAGCTGTAGAACAAACCTGCACATATACCCCTGAACTTGAAAGTTTTTTTTTGTTTTTTTTTTTTTTCTTGAGATGGAGTCTTGCTCTGTCGCCCAGGCTGGAGTTCAGTGGCGTGATCTCGGCTCACTGCAAACTCTGCCTCCTGGGTTCACACCATTCTCCTGCCTCAGCCTCCCGAGTAGCTGGGACTACAGGCACCTGCCACCACGCCCAGCTAATTTTTTTTTTTTTTTTTTGTATTTTTAGTAGAGACTGGGTTTCACCGTGTTAGCCAGGATGGTCTCGATCTCCTGACCGTGATCCGCCCGCCTTGGCCTCCCAAGGTGCTGGGATTACAGGAGTGAGCCACCGCGCCCGAGCAAAATGAAAGTTTTTAACAGTTCCCCTTAACAAAAACAATCCGAGAGAAAACTCAGATTCCCTATTCCCTTGCCTTACTTGTCTTTCCCCAGTCATTCCTTATCCTCACCCTGCCCAGGTAAAATCCGTGGACCTCATCAACTTCAGCAATCCATGAAGGCTTGGCTTCTGGGAAATAGAAAACTGTATTTCATTTGTTGTTTTGTTTTTACCAATTTAGTGGATGGGTGGTGGGGGCTTGTCTGAGACACTAGTTCCTGTTGACTTCTGATTAAAAATGACTTCAACTCAGTTGCCTCCCTTCTATTGAAGGCTAGTGCATTACCATTAGTAAGAGTATTGACGTTTAAAAATGAGCCTGTTACTGAACCTATTTAACAGCTATTGAACTACCCATGTTTAAATATTTACTCTGCACGATTCCAACCTGTTGGTCCTTCTTTGCCTCTGACATTGGATAGATTGTCAGAACTTCCATCTCTGCAGCTTCCGTGAAAAGAACACTTCAAACATTATAATATTAATTGGTATGTTCAGGAGACTGGGTGTTTAAAGAAAGTGGATTTTGTGGGTAACTGAGATTTAACATAAAATCTGGATACCTGGCACATCCATCGTTTTGTGTGGGTAATCTTTGTATCTCATTTCTTCATTCATTCATTCATTTCGTGCCTACTATGTGCCAGGCACAGAGTAGTGAGCTAGGCCAGCCTAGAGAAGTCTATGAAACTACATATTTCCTTGTGTGTCTTGTGATCCATCATTTGAAATATCTCCTTTCATCCAACTTTGAAGATATAAGACAGAGTTTCCCAACTATCTGGGAGTCAGAGGTTGCTTTGAGAATGTGATGGAAGGCAATGAGATTTCTCATACGAGCTCATCATTTTGCCTCCATTTTCAGTATGGTTGGTTATTCATGGGTCTCTGGATTCTGGGAGTCAGGGAAAGAACATGTGGATGTTACTTCTGGAAGTTCTGTCTCTGTTTACTAAACTTCTAATAGGCAATCATTTTTCTCCCCATTTGTTTTCTAAAATTTGAGCAAGAAAAATGGTATCTCTTCATGGAAAGTTCTAGCCCTTTAGGAATTTATACTCTAAATGCTAGTTCTTTGTGTTTTCCAGCTAGTCATAAACTCACTTTTTTTTTTTGTTTTTTCCCCCCTTTTCCTATTTTTTCTTTAAAATTCATTTTTTCTTCTTTTTTAGAGACAGGGTCTGGCTATGTTGCTCAGGCTGGTCTTGAACTCCTGACCTCAAGGGATCCTCCTGCTCTGGCTTCCCAAGTAGTTAGGATTACAGGTAGGACAAGCTACTGTGCCCGGCTTCCATAAATTCACTTTATATGAACAGTAAAAATCTCCTTCTCTGCTTACAAGAAAACAACCTTACTTTATACTCATAGGACAAATACACAGAGATTCAAACCCTCTCTCATGATTTATGAACGTTTCTCTATAAAGGTAAGAAATGATCCCTATCAGCATTTAAACCTTGCTCAGAGTTTTGAATCACCACAACCCCTGCCAAGCCTGGTTCATTGCTAAAGCACTGGAACAATGGAACTAAGCCTATTTGATGGCAGTTTGACATCTGAAATTCTATTTCTAATTGTAAAATTTAAAAAGTTTAAGATCAATCTGTTTCTGATGCCATGTATAGTATATTTAACTTGTGGAAAGCTTATTAAAGTATATACCCATAATATTGTATTACATATGCTCACATATAATAGTTTCCATTATTAATCATTTAGTATATATTATTTTTTAAACGTTTATTTTAGGTTCAGAGGTACACGTGCAGGTTTGTTATATAGGTAAACTGTGTGTCACAAGGGTTTGGTGTACAGATTATTTCATCACCCAGGTAATAAACATGGTACCCGACAGATATTTATTCTTATCCTCTCCCTCCTGCCATCCTCCATCCTCAAGTAGGCCTCAGTGTCTGTTTTTCCCCTCTTTGTGTCCACTTTTTTTTTTTTTGAGACAGAGTCTCTCTCTGTGGCCCGGGCTGGAGTGCAGTGGCTCAATCTCGGCTCACTGCAAGCTCCGCCTCCTGGGTTCATGCCATTCTCCTGCCTCAGCCTCCCGATTAGCTGGAACTACATGCGCCCACCACCAGCCTGGCTAATTTTTTTGTATTTTTAGTGGAGATGGGATTTCACTGTGTTAGCCAGGATGGTCTCGATCTCCTGACCTCGTGATCTGCCTGCCTTGGCCCCCCAAAGTGCTGGGATTACAGGTGTTTTAATTGTTTAGCTTCCACTTATAAGTGAGAAAATGAAGTATTTCATTTCCTGTTCTTGTGTTAGTTTGCTTAGGATAATGGCCTCTAGCTCCATCCATGTTCTATGTAAAGGACATGATCTCATTCTTTTTTATGGCTGCATAGTATTCCGTGGTGTATATATACCACATTTTCTTTATCCAGTCTACTGTTGATGAGCATTTAGGTTGACTCTATGTCTTTGCTATTATGAACACTGTTGCAATGAACATACACATGCATGTGTCTTTATAGTAGAATGATTTATATTCCTTTGGGTATATACCCAGTAATGGGATTGCTGGGTTGAATGGTAATTCTATTTTAAGTTCTTTAAGAAATCGCCACACTGTGTTCCACAATGGCTGAACTAATTTATGCTCCCATACTTGCATTATTTCTTTTAATTCTTACAGCAGCACTATGAGGCAGGTATTGTTATGAGCCCATTTTTTAGAAGATGAAAAAGAAGTTGAGAGAGAATATTAATCCAAAGATACTTACATACACATTTTTATAGCAGCACAATTCGCAACTGCAAAAATGTGGCACCAACAGAAATGCCCATCAATCAACAAGTAGATAAAGAAATTGTGGCATGTGTGTGTATGTGTATATACATACACATATATACACATATGTAGTGTGTATATACATACACATATATACACATATACATATATACACATATATATACATATAAAGAAATTGTGGTATGTGTGTGTATGTATATATATATGTGTATATATGTGTGTGTATGTGTATATATATATGTGTATATATATACACATACACACACAATGGAATACTACTTGGCCATAAAAACGCATGAATTAATGGCATTTGCAGCAACCTAGATGGGATTGGAGACTATTATTCTAAGTGAAGTAACTCAGGAATGGAAAACCAAACATCGTACGTTCTCACTCATAGGTGGGAGCTAAGCTATGAGGACGCAAAGGCATAAGGATGACCCAATGGACTTTGGAGACTCAGGGGGAAAGAATGGGAAGGGGGTGAGGGATAAAAGGCTAGAAATTGGGTTCAGTGTATACTGCTCGGGTGATGGGTGCACCAAAATTTCACTAATCACCACTAAAGAAGTAACTCATGTAAACAAACACCACCTGTTCCCCCAAAACCTATGGAAATAAAAAAATAAAAATAAAATACTAATGTTTTAGGATAAAAGAAAAAGAAAAAGAAATCCAAGTAAAAGGTGGTGAAGCCAGGATTTGATCCAAAGGTCTCAAGCACCAAATCTCATTTGTTTAATATCATTTCCATTGCCCAGAGGCAACTTTTGTTAACATTTTGGTGTCTTTCTTTATTCTCGATCCTTAAAACTTATTTAAAACTATTTAATATTTTATTTTGTATTCTGCCTTTCATCCTAGCATCAGAAATCTTTCTTTTACATGTCAGTAAAAGCTTTCTAAATGTTTTTATTTGCTACTTAATTGCTAGCTAACCATTCTCCTACTAATGAACTTGTAGGGTCTTTCAAGTTTCTTGTATTATAAATAACACCGTGAAGGACATCTTTAAACATGAATATTTGTGTAGACTGATTTTGAAAATCAGGTTGTGGATCTGAGTTCGATATGTTTGTTTTTTTTTCTTTTTGTTTTTGGTAAGTCTTAGGGAGGGCAACATATTTTTCAGGTCAAAAATGAGTTTTTGAATTTTACCTTATCTCTGTCCTAAGCCAATTTCTCAAAGTCACACTCTTAAAGATATTGACTCATCTTCTTTTCTACATTGCCTAAGTGAGTTTTTAATTTTATAATGTTTGACAACTCAAATAATATTTTTGAAACATTTGAAGTATGGGCTATCTCATACCATCTATACATGTAGGGAATTGATGAGCACGAAACCCCAAGAAGTGGAATATTCAAATGAATTTGATGATTGGCCTTGGAGTGTGTTATATGGATTACCTTGTAGGTTGCATTCAGCTACTAATGAAGTGATTTCGTATTCTCCAAATATTTGCTGACTCCAAATGAATGAAGAATTTGAGAGATATTTGCTGTGTAGCAAAAGCAAGCCCATGTGGTGGTTCGTTTAAAATCCCAACTGTATTTTCTCTCTAATCATGTAACTTGTCACAGTGTATTATAGTTTCTGGTAGATTAATCTTTATTCTCCACTAGGTCAGGAATTTCAGGAAGCCATAAATGTATATCTGGTATACCGTGGCTGATAATATAATATCTGGCACATGGCCGGTATTCAGAAAATTGTGTTAGAAGGAAGCAAACAAGTGAGAAAGCCAGTCGTAAACAACCTTGCAAAAACAATTCTTGAGAAATGACTCTGCTTGTTCGGAACCATCATACACTGGAAAATTCTTAAACCTTCTTTTCAAGCATTATAAGAGATAACTTTTTAGAACCATAAGACTTGCAGAAAATGGCGAACTTAGGTGGCCTCTGGGGTCAGAACTTTGAGGACATGGCTGAAATGAGTTCAATCACTCTTTGAGTTATCAAAACTGCACTAATTCTAGGCTCACCCTGAGGAGGGGGGTTTCAATCTAATTGGGGGGAAATCTCTGCCTTGACAAAAAGTCACCTGTTTATATCTCATGGACTCTAAGAGGAACTGTCTCAGGCCATGAAATGCTGGCTGGACAAGCCCTTTCATGCCCCTTCACAGAGCGCTTTCTTTCGTTTTCGAATTCATACAATGTCACAATCCATACAGGATGATCTGGCCCAAACCCTTCACCTGCTAGAAGGGGACACTCTGGGGTCAGCCTCTTCTGTTCCGACTCAGATAGCATCTCTCGGCGCCAATTGTGCAATCATTGGCCTTGCGTGACTCCTCAGTTTGCTCTTCATCTTCTGCTCTCCTCACAGGCTATGAAGGACAAGAATTAATTTATGGTGCTATGAAATGCGCTGGGCTTATCAAGGGTTTTTATGGGTTAATATCCACAAGCTTCACCTCCCTTACCTTTGGTCCTGGAGATCATGTTTACAGTGCAGGTTTGAACTTAAGGGAAGGGGTTAGGTGAGGAAGAAGGCAATTAAAGGACTCACAGTCACCTGCTGGTCCGTTCAGAGCAGGTAAGACTTGCCTAGGTGTGGGCAGGGGGCCCTTCACCCAGAGCCCTATCTCTGGAGGAAGATAAATTCACAGTTAATAAAGATAAGGGCCTGAGAGAAATGCCATTAAGGACTACATTGCCAGCCCAGCCCAGCCGATCAAAGCCAACGGTGACTAATTCTCTTAATGGGAAATACCGGGGGTCAGAGAAGGTTTTGTGTCACAGGGTTGGTGAGGAAAACCAGCTTGGGCAGGCATGGCTTTGAACCCTACCTTCGTCACTTAACAGCCACGAGATCCTGAGCAAGTGTTTTTGCCTCTTTAAGCCTCAACCTGCAGGATCTCTCTTTCTTCTGTCTTAGGCCTCTTGACTGCATGAACTATAATGGTGTATGAAAAGCAACTGGTGCCATGCTGGGCACAGGATAGCTAATCAATAAATGTGAATTTCTCCCTTTACCCCCTTTCCCCTTTTCTTCCTTTGACGGTGCCTTTGAAAATAAACTCATTTGGAGGCTGGGCACGGTGGCTTATGCCTATAATCCCAGCAGTTTGGAAGGCCAAGGCAAGCGGATCACTAGAGGTCAGGAGTTCGAGACCAGCCTGGCCAAGATGGCAAAACCCCATCTCTACTAAAAATGCAAAAATTAGCCAGGTGTGGTGGTGCACGCCTATAATCCCAGCTACTCAGGAGGCTGAGGCAGGAGAATCGTTTGAACCCAGAAGGCGGAGGTTGCAGTGAGCCGAGATCACACCACTGCACTCCAGCCTGGGTGACAGAGAAAGACTTTGCCTCAAAACAAAACAAAACAAAACAAACTAAATTTATTTGGTTTGCTTGTATCCTTTCATTCATTAAGCCATTGATTGATGTGACAGACATATAAAGCACTTACTAAGTGCCAGAATCCAGGCTCAGCATAGAGCACATTTAAAATATCAGGTGCAAAATTTGTCCTTATGAAGCTATGGTCTAAAGAGGGGAAGAAACGTTAGTTCGGATAGCTACCACACATTGAACACTGACGACATGCAGTACTTTTCCTGTATTTACTCATTGAATCCTCATAACAACTCTCTGAAGTAGATACCATCATGATCCCATTTTATGGATGGAAAAACTGAGGCACAGGGTCATGAAGTAACTTACCCCAGATGCCACAATTAGTAAGTGTCAGAGTATAAGTGTACCCTGCAGCCCATGTGCAGAAAACTACTGGGGTGTTACAAGAAGATAACTATTAACCCTTTGCACTTGGCGATTTACCCATTTGGGGGCTGTTGGTGGAATTTGGCTAATTTGGTTGTCCACCCCCTTGCTAATCCAGAGCGTGTGGTCCGTGGCCTGGCAGCTTGGACATTCCCTGGGAGCTGGCAAGAAATACTGAATCTCAGGCCCCACCTCAGACCTGCTGAACCAGTCTCATTTTGACAAGGTTCCAGGGGATCTATGTGCCAGCTGGAATTTGAGAAGTGTTTGTTTATATGTCCAAACTGTCTTTCCACTGTATAATTAAAATAACAACTAAAAAGCCACCCAGGTAGTGCTATTGTATAGCCCCGAAGTCACTGGGTTGAGGAGACCTGTGAGATGCCCATAGGAAGTAGCCTGGGCACCCCTTAAGTGGCTTGACCCCACGTTTCTTCAACCCCCTTAAGACTCTGCTATCACCTACAGTGTCTTCCCTAACATCATCAGCAGGGTTCAAATGTTCCTTGGCATAGAATCTCCCGCAATGCTTCCTAAGCAGAGATGTTGACCTGCAGAACGTGCCCTGTTGTGGGCATGGGTGGGGTTAGGGTCAGTTTCTGGTCCACTCTCCAGCATCCTCATGGCCCTCATCATTATCTGCAATGACGTGAGTCATTCAACTGTTCACCTCTTCACCATAGAGTCATTCCATTAGATTGTCACTTTCATGGGGGCAGCTATTTACCTGGCTCAATTACCTCTTCATCCCAGCACCAGGAAGAGACCTGGCACATAGGAGGTGTTCAATAAATATTTATTGAATGAATGAATAAATGCAGAAACCTATTCTAAATCTTTTTTTTTTTTTTTTTTTTTTGAGACAAGGTCTCACCCTGTCACCCAGGCTGGAATGTAGTGGTGCACTCTCAACTCACTGCAACCTCCCCTTCTGGGACTCAAGCAATCCTTCTCTCTCAGCCTCCCGAGTAGCTGGGATTACAAGCATGTGCCACCATGTCTGGCTAATTTTTTCTATTTTTTGTAGAGATGCGGTTTTGTCTTGTTGCCCAGGCTGGTCTTGAATGCCTGGACTAAAGCAATCCTCCTGCATCAGTCTCCCCAAGTGCTGGGATTACAGGCGTGAGCCACTGCGCCTGGCCTAAACTTTTAAGTAAATAATTCCCAAACTTTAGTGATTGAATAATGATTAGAAATAAGTTATGTGTCACACCCTGCAACTGACCACAGCTCTTCAGGGTGCCTAAGAGGGCTGAGATTGGAGAACAGCCCAAACTTACCCATTATATTAATTTAGTACTGCTGCTGCAACAGAATTACCACAAATGCAGTGGCCTGAAACAATGCATATTTACAATTTTTTTTACAATTCCGGAGATAATAAGTTCTAAAATCAAGGTCTTGGCAGGGCTGCATCTCTTCTGGACACTTTAGACGAGAATCAGTTTCCTTGCTTTTTTCTTTTTTTCTCCTAGAGGCTGCTCACAGGCCTCGGCTCACGGCCCCCTTCTGTTCTTCAAAGCCAGTAGTTGCATTGCCCTGATCTCTGCTTGCCTTCACATCTCCTCTGTCTCTGCCTCTCCTGTTTCTTTCTTATGAAGACCCTTGTGATGACATTGGACCCTCCTGGGTAATCCAGCATAATCCCCTCATCTCAGGGTCCTTAGCTTAATCACATCTACGAGTCTCTTTTGCTATGTAAGGTCACATATTCCCAAATTCTGGGGATTCCAGGGATTAGGATGTGGAAGTCTTTGGGGTGGGGGTTGGGCATTATTCTGCCTACACTGACTTTACTGTCCACCCCAGAATAAAAGCGAGTTGAGGCTGGTATCTCCCTGGAGTGGTGTCTGCTATCTAGATCCATCATTGCTCATCTATCCCAGGCTTTTTCTGTGCGATGACTCTCTGGGTCTCTTCCATTTCATTTCCTCCAGGATCCTTCCTCCGTTTTATGCCACCTTTCTTGGTACTTTAGATTCTTAGGATATTCATGCTGAACAAATATTCATTTTTATTATCAATTTTTTTAGGACAGGGATATCCAACCTTTAGGATTTAGTGTTAATCACTAATTGTCAACTAACTGTCAATCACTAATGAATCAACTAAGATTGTCCACTTTGGATATGCCACCTTGACAGTAGCAGATTCCAAGGGTCATGGGATACATGATACTTATTACTTTCTGGTGATGGGTGATACTTATTTTGGTTTTTGTTTGTCTGTGTGACTTTCGTACCACCCATGAAGATAATTTGAATGCTCTTAGGAGGGTAACCAAACTAGACCAGGATCTTGGAACATCTGAGAATAAACCTGAAATCAATTCATCACATCTATTACATGAAGAAATGGTTTCTTTGGCTCCAAGCTCACAAGGTGGATCCCAAGGGGGAAACAGAAAGTGGCTTAAGAAAATAAACCCAGATCCATGGTCCGTGAATGGCGCCACCCAATGTCAAGAAGTGACAACCTGGTTGTGAGAAATATGTCTTGGTAGGCACCCTCTAGAGTCCAATGAGGATAAACTACAGCCCTGACTGAATCCAACAGAGAGCGTAGGACTAAGTACTGGCACCAAGGCCTTGCTCTCAAAGTCCTGTCATTCTAAAGTTCCAGAACTTTCTTTAACTTAGGCAGTGCTGTCAGGCAGAGGCTTTTGAAGGGCCAGGTGGGACCCGTGGAGAAGAGGTTAATTCTTATCACTCTTGGGTCATCTCTCCTCACATCTCTTTATAACTCGTGAGATACCTGGCTCCTGACTGACTGTGTCAAGGAGGGTGTGGCCCCCACGTCTGGGCCTCCCCTCTCCTGCTAGTGGGGCCATCATGTTCTGATTAGTATTAATAATTGATTTATATAGCACCTTTTACAAGCCTGCAAATACTGTCTGCAACCAGCCTGTGTGTGGACACACGCATCACTTCACTCTCAGATGATAAGCTGCCACCTCACGGGGTGGGCAGGAAGGTGTGGCGGGCGCCAGTCACCTCGGTGGCGCCAACGACGTGACAAGGAGACAGTTTGCTGGAGGAAGTAGGACAGCACCTTATCTCTGCTGGCTGGGGTGGGGGACTGGGCGGAGGTGATTCTGGGCTTGTAATTAATAACTTGAAGGGTTGGACTTGTGAGTACCCCAGGTCAGGAAAGCATCTTTTGGCATAGGATAGGGTTGCTTCATTACCCCATTATTTAGAAGAAAAAAACCCAAAACAAAACCCTGAGATGCTGATGGAATAAAAGAATGCCAATGGCAGAGATAGGGTAAAGCCAACACATCTGTGAGTCACATCAGCATGTAACCTGGGGCTGTATGCCTTTGTTTCCCCTGCCAAGCTGAAACAGATGGTGGAAGATGGTTATTCAAGGCTCACGTCATTGGTCGCCATATTGTATGGGGCTTGGGGTGCTCATCTTATATTTTGAGGTATCCTAAGTTAGTGTTTAAAGGAAGCTGAGGGTTTACAGGGCCCTCGTTTGAGCTTTGAGAAGTTCTGTCGTAAAGAAACTCATTAAATTTAATTTAGTTCGATATTTCCCAAACCTACTTGATGTGATCATTTTGATGAGGGTCTGCCTGTTAGAGTTCATTTAGGATCTTTACTTATGTTTTTGAGAAAAATCAGCATCATGTAGTTTAAAAAAATGAGTTCTGAATTAAGTCAATTTTCTGGTGGTCTCGAATGAGATCATTCATGTAGAGACAGGTTCTACAACTTACTAGGTGGGTAATCATGGGAAAGCCACAGACCTTCCTGTAACCTCAGTTTCCTCATTTATAATAGTATCCACTGCACAGGGATGAGGGACAGTGCCAGGCACATAGTATCTGCTCTGTAAAGATAAGCTATTTCTTATTTTATCATCATGAGGAGCATCAACATGTCCATCATCTTCATCGAATAGCAATGCTCTCTGAGGAGAAATGAAACATATTGGTAGATCAAACAACAACAACAACACCCAGTTTCCCAGAAAGGAGGGATGAGATACAGAGAAAAGTTTCCATGTTTGCTCAGATTCTAGTGTCCTATTCCTTGGGAGGTCAGTGGGTAGAATTCAGACCCACTTAGGAGTAAAGGCCAAGCTCAGGAATGAGTCAGAGCTCTTGAGTGGCCAAGTGGAAGGATTCAGAGACCAGGAATAAAGTAGGAATTCCCTAGGAAGCCATGCGATGGGGTGTGGACTGAGATGAGGAAGAATCTAGAACTTCGGCAGAAACATCTGAATTAGAACTTTTCAACTCCATTCCACCCAACCCTAGTCCATGTTCCATGAACAAAGGGTGGCATTACCAAGTCAATAGGGGGACGGCATCACATGCTTCCCCTCTCGGAGAGTCAGGAAATTGATCCGTGTAGTAAAAGCTTTGAGAAGTCTTGCAGTAAAGAAACTCATTACATTTAATTTAGTTCAATATTCCCCAAACCCATTTAATTCCTGGACTACCTCCTTTATTTTATTTTATTTTATTATTTCATAAAATAATACATATTTTTACCTAAACATACTTTGGGAGAGATTGATTTAGACCATGAGAATTTGGAAGAATTGTCTCTTCCAAAGCTGGAAAAAAAAGTAGAGATTTTAAAAATCGAATCTACGTGTTTTTAATGTATCCTACTTGAACATCTTTTTTTTGTTTGTTTGTTTGAACTTGTAAAGAGACTCACCACCACTTCTAAATTTTTGTGTTTGTGTTTCTGTTTGAAGTGTTGGTCTGGATTTTGCAGCTATTTTAAATGGCTTAAAGGATGAGGAGGGAGGAATAGCCATGTTCCCAATTTGCGATAATGTCAATACTATTTATAATCCTGTCGATGCTAGTCACAATAATGTGTTTTTATGATCATGTCAATACTATGTGTGATCATGCCAGTACAATAGTAGCAACAATTGTCATTGATGAGTGCCATTTATGAAGTCCTGTCTGTGTACCCTTCCCTACGCTAAGTAGGTGACATGTGTTATGTAGTTCTCCAAATAGGAAAATGAGGCTCAGAAGAGGTAGGTAGCTTGTCCAAAGTCATGTCACTAGAGAGTAGCAGAGCTAAATTTGAATCCAGAACCAACCCTAAGAACAAAGCCATGGCTCTCATGTTGCACCTCGCATGCAGTTGCTAATTCTTCCATCCTACCTCCATTCCGAATCCTCTCTGAGTGACTCAAGAGTCACTCATACCTAGTATAACTAGTATACCTAATAAGAGTCACTGATAACTAGTATCAGGAGCAAGAGCTGCTCTCAGTGATTGGAAGCTGCGGCTCAGGACCTAGAAGGCTGCTGAGTCACCAGCAGGCTGTGCTGTGGCAGAGGCAGCCTTAGGTGGGGTAGATGCATGCAGGTCTCAGGCTGCTAGGGCTCTGTCCTGTGGACCTTGTCCTTCGGGTGCCAGACACAGCTGTGTGTTGTCCGGGTGTCACTTTCATTTTCTGAGGCCCACACTTGCGGACACCCAGAGAGACTGTACATGTGCACCTTCTTGTTATGTACCCAGGAGGGGTACTAGCCACTCTGGTTTGCCCAGGACTGTCCTGGTTTTAGCACTGAGAGTCCTATGTCCTAGAAAACCCTTCAGGCTCTGGCACCCGGGGACAGTTGGTCACTCTAAATAGGTCCTTTGGTCTATATAGAGCCCTCAGGTGAGACTTGTCTAAAGGCAAAGAGAAGCTAAGTTCAGGGCCTTTAAAAATAAGCAGTTTCTGCAACAGAAAAATGCAGTAGAATGCAGGAAGGTCAATTCTGACTATCAAAAAACAAAAAAAAAAAAACAAAAAAACTCAAAAACCCTCATTGGAAAAATTAAAACAAAAATTTTTTTAAAAACCTCACCAAGTCTTCTTCATTGAATCCAGCACTTACTAATTCAATAAAAGTGCTTTTAAAATAATACTCTTCTACTCCTCTGTTACTCACTAAGTTGTGAGTGTTTAATGCATGCCATACTCCTTGCTCAGCCCCTGACGTACAGAACTTCATTGAATTTGTACAATTACCCCAAAAGGTAGGCATTATTATTATTATTATCTTTTTTTTTTTTTTTTTTGAGACAGAATCTTGCTCTGTCACCCAGGCTGAAATGCAGTGGCACAATCTCAGCTCACTGCAACCTCCGCCTCCCAGGTTCAAGCAATTTTTCTGCCTCAGCCTCCTGAGTAGCTGGGATTACAGGCACCCACCACCACACCTGGCTACTTTTTGTATTTTTAGTAGAGATGGGGTTTCACCATTTTGGTCAGGCTGGTCTCAAACTCCTGACCTCGTGATCCGCCCAGTAGGCACTATTTTTATGCACAATTTGACAGATGAAGAAACTGAGGCCCAGTTAGATCACTTGCCTAAGGTCACAGCTAGGAGGTGCCTGATGCACGTGACTTAGACTCAGATGACCTGAGAGCAGGCTGTAGGCACTCACCACCCACTAGGCCATACTGCTCCCTCCACTAGCTAGTGATGGACACTGTAAGAAATGAATATCTTTGGCTCATAATCATACCAGAGTATGAGCTTTCTGAGGGTAGCCTCTTATTCATGAATGTATCCTCAGAGAACCCAGCATGGGGCTATGCACACAGTAGATGCTCAGTTAATGTTTGCTAAATTGTATTATAGTAAAAAGAAATTTATATTTTCTTTGCCCGTAGCAAAAAAATTATTTTGCAGAAGTCCTGGTCTGTTTTCTTTATTTATCCACCAGAATAAAAGCCATTTTAGCAGGGGGCGGTGGTTCATGCCTATAATCCCAGCACTTTGGGAGGCTGAGGTGGGTGGATCACTTGAGGTCAGGAGTTAGAGACCAGCCTGGCCAATATGGCAAAACCCCAAGTCTACTAAAAATAAAAAAATTTACCTGGATGTGGTGGCGTGTGCCTGTAATCCCTGCTACTTGGGAGGCTGAGGCAGGAGAATCGTTTGAACATGGGAGGTGTAGGTCACTGTGAGCCTAGATTGCACCACTGCACTCCAGCTTTGATGACAGAGTAAGACTCTGTCTCAAAAAAAAAAAAATCCATTTTAATACATCTGTCTCTATATAGGATTATAAACTCTTATCACATATATACTTATACATAAACACACACATATATAAACATATATATACAACACACACCTAATACATAATATATATAATAGGTGTTATACACACACATATACATATATATTTATTTATTTATATAGACAAGCCCATACTCTTTAATTCACCTCTGCATTCCAACTATTATCACAATGCCTGGCACATAGCAGGGGCTAAATAAATACTTCTGGAATGAAAGAATGAGTAAATGCAAGCTGCCCACAAGAAAAACTCTGAATAGAGAGATCTGTGTTGCTCCTACGGAAATTTCCCCCACATGCTCTTTAAACCACATCTGGGCCTCGTGTGAGTCCAGCAATTTCAGTACAGAGGGCTGGGCTACATCAGTTATGAAGAGATTGTCTCAGGATGCCTATTTCATGGCAGAAAACACGCAAACACACTCTCCATTTCCTCTTTAAGCTGGTGCCATCAGTAACTGCTCCAGTCAGCCCCGCTGAGGAAGGGCAGCCCAGGGGCTTCAGGTTTGGGTCCCAGGGAATATCTGCAGAGGAAGAAACTATGAAATCATAATAGCAAACAGCACACAGCACTTTAGTTTGTGCCTGTCGCTCTGCTGAAATGTTATGCATAATTAACCCAATTATACTTCACAACAACTCGACGAGGTTGGTGTCATTTAATCCCCAATTTACAGATAAGAAAATGAAGGCTTATGAGGTCATGTAACTTGTTCAAGGTCACAGATCTTGTAAGTCTGGCTTGAGCCCATGGTCCTTACTCCTTTAAGGCATTCTCTATAAACTGTAAAGCAAAAGATGAGGGGCACTTGGGTGACCATTCCCATAAATGCTACTATGTGGTATATATTATGCAAGGGGCTGATATTCCCAAAGAATACTCATTTCTCAAATGGCGCAAAAATATTAATAATCATCAATACTAATAGCTACCACCATTGAGCAGTCCCTATATGTGCACAGCTTCTGGCCATTTGCTTATTAGTACAATAGGAGGTAGGTGCTTTTTCTCATCTCCACCATATAGACAAGGAAACTGAGGCAGAACAAGAGACAATGGCTTATGCAAACTCAGACAATAGAAAGAGAGTAGTTGGGATTTAATCCAGGACTTTCTGACTCCAAACCCATGCATGAACGCATACCACAATACTTTATTATCTTAGAAATAACAGGAAAAATGTGGGCTCAGTGGATGAGAACTCCAGGAAGCTTGAGCAAGGGCTGCATTTCTTCTACTACACCAAAGCAAGCATGGGTAGGTAGCAAGAGAAGGTGATGCGTGAAGGATGGATCATACTATGCTCTGGAAGCATAGACCTGCCCCCAGTTTTCCACTGTTTTCTGAATATGCCACGTG
Source organism: Homo sapiens (assembly GCF_000001405.40). Lineage (NCBI taxonomy): Eukaryota > Metazoa > Chordata > Mammalia > Primates > Hominidae > Homo > Homo sapiens. Next base: position 115,465,240 of record NC_000012.12, on the reverse strand, counting down.
ATCCATGACTCTCTTGACTTACGCTATTGCTTCTTTCTCAAAAGCCCTTTCCACTCTCTCCCACCTCCCTCTACTACCTGTTTGATCAATTCTTCTTCATCTTCATGACAGTTCAAATTATCGCTGCCTCTGCAAATTATCCCCAAGCTTCCCCAAACTCCTCTCTGTCACCTCCAATAGTCCACTTCATGAACCCCAATTCTATCTAGTTCTAGTCTCCTTTCGTCTAAATTTCTCTAGTGGAGAGGGGAACACACTAGTTCTCTAAGACGTTCCTTAGGTAAAAAGAGCTTTCAGGGTCAAATATAGTTGGCGAGTGCTGCTAACTGTATGCTGCCAAGTCAGGGAAGTTTACAAAGAGACACTTGCAGAGTAAAGGCCCTGAGAAGTCCCGCAGTGAAGAGAACAGCATTTCGTATTTGACAATGGAACGCTTCCCCTCCCAACCAACTTTTCTTTGGCAGTAACATCCCGATCATGGAGCAGATTGCTGCAGTTATTTGTTTGTGGACCTGCCTCCTCTACTTAATTGTGAGTTTTCTTCAGAGATTGTTATTTTATGATCTCTAGATCTCCAACACTGGGTTAATGTTTATTGGGTTGAATTAAAGTGGTTTCACAGGCAAACCTAAGCAGAGGCAAAGCTGCCAAATCCTGTACGCAGATGCCACATAGAAGGAAAGCTTGTCCTTCTTTCCACCCTCACTGCCCCACTGGGCATTTGGCAACCTTCACACGATCAAATAATAAGCTTCCTCGCCATCAATCTCCATGGATGTGGGTGCCCTCGGGATGTGACAACTCATAAAAATTGTGGTTGAACACATTTTAGCCTTTCTTTCTAAATTCCCAGACTTTGTCTTTTTGAGCTGTCTCCAGAATCTTCCCAAGGGGGATTTTCCTTGTTCCTGTAAACTAGAGATTTATGTTCCTCATGTGGACTTTTCCCAGCTTAGCTGAATTCTTAGTTGTGGGTGTGTTCCTTCAGGCGGAAGTGTGTGAAGCAGAGGACGTTGGAGAAACTGCTTTGTAGTGAGATTCTTAGACTAGTTCTTACCTGCGAGGAATAATTTGCAAGGTGACGTGGTGTAGTGGAAAAGACGCTGGCTTCTGGAATCAGAAGAGACTAGAGTTTGCCTCCTGTAGCCCTCTGACTCTGGGCATGTTCCCCAAACTTTCGGATTCTCCTCCACATCCTTACCTGCAAAGTGGGAGTGACCACATGTGTCTTGTAGGATGTGGAGAGCACAGCCGTTATTGTTATGCATTGTCTTCTCTTTGGATCCTGAGTCCTACTGTTAAGGTCTCCTCCCCTCTCATCATCTCTTCACCACCATCATCAATTCAACTCACTTTTGGTGTTTTTTTTTTTTTTTCTGCATCCCTCCTTCCAGCTGTTCCAACTTCATAACCTTACCTTTCTTCCTTCATTCATGTGCTCGATATCTTACTTAACCTGGTTCTCCTTATGAATCTTTTTATTTAAAAATCTCAATTTCTGTGTATTTTTGAAAGAAAGTCTTATTTTGTAGCTGTAGGTATTAGTGGGCTTAATTAAAATGTAATCAGTTGAATTGATCCAGCTGTTAGAACTAGGACTTTTGCCAGAAAACAGGTCAGGACGTATGTTTTTAGTACTTTCCCCCACAATTTGGCATGACTTTGATGGCTGAAATAATGTTGGGCCACAGTTGTGTCACTGAATGCCGGCCCTAAAGGGGTCTTATTGCCTTGCACCTAATAGCTTTCAGCAAAAGAATTTGGAAAAAGCACATCAAAGCAAACCATGCAAAAGCAGAAGAAAAGAAGTGGCTAAAATCAAACAATAAGGACTAAAAAATGATCAAAATTTGGTTAAGTAAACTTAAGAGATTATTGTTTAAGAAACAAATCTTAAAAGAGCAAGTTACAGAAAAGCTTAACAAAGAAAAAAATGAGGAAATCCAAATACCCCAAGTTAGTGGTGAGAAACAGGATATGAAGATATGAAGGGGATATTTAAAGTTATAGGAGTGTTGTATATATTTCTGCATCAAGATTTCTCAACCTGAACACTATTGACATTTTGGGATGGATAATTCTTTATTGTGGGGCCTGTCTTGGGCATTGTAGGATGTTGAGCAGCATCTCTGGTCTCTACCCACCAGATGCCAGTAGGACCTCCCACCCCTAAGTTGTGACAACTGAAAATGTCTCCAGGCATTGCCAAATGTCCCCTGGGAGGCAAAAATCACTTCCTGCTGAGAAACACTCTTCTATATTAATCACTTTTTAAAAAATGTAATGACATGACAAATTTTCTAGGGAAATATTAATAAAATTCATTAAAAATTAATGTATGTGTGTAAGTATACAGGTATGTATGTGCCTCTATACATGTAGAGAAACCAGGGAAAACATTTGCACAACTATCAATATGTCATCTTTAAAAAACAAAATCCTGAGTCAAAGGAATTTATCAGGGAGGTACTTTCCATCTTCAAGAGATAAGAAGTCATCATTCTCTAGAAACTGCCCAGGTGACCAACTGTCCTGGTTTCCCAGAGTGGTTTTCTGGGATGTGGGGCTTTTGGTGATAAAACTTGGAAAATCTTAGGGAAATCAGGACAGTCCTAAAACCTTCCCATAGATAATGGCAGAGAATACACCAGTGCAGCACTAAAATGAAAAACTGCAGGCCACACCCACTTATAAATATAAATAAGGACAAAAAAAATCGACCTTAAATCATGCTGTATATAAAGCTAAAGTTTTCATTTGTTTGCTTAAGAAGCTCTGTTCAGATAAAATCATTTGTGAAGTCTTAATTTGTTGCAACAGTGATACTGTGAATAGAACCTCCTTCTGGGTCTTCTGAGTCCCTCTTTTCCAAAATCCCAACCTCTCCTTCTTTCTTCCCCAATCTTTCCCTAAACCCACTCTCACTTATTTCCTGAGGGGCTCCATGGGACTCCCAGTGCCTTCTGGAGCACAACTGGAAATCCTACATTAGAAGGATAACCACCAAGGTGAAGTAGGGTCTATACCAGGAATATAAGATGGTCCAACAAGGTTATTTTGACACAGATCAAAAAGGAATACTTGGTAAATTCAAAATCCATGTGATTTAAAACAAGAATAATAAACAGCTTTCATTAAACTAGAAGTAGAAGTATGCTTCTCTAACATAATACTGATTTTCTTTTTCACATCAATAGAAACATCATTTATAGTGGAGGCCTTCCCATTGAAAGCATAAATAAGGATGCTCATGATTACTTTTTAGTGATTTTTAAGAAGTTTTAGTCAATGCAATAAGGCAGGAAGAAAACTACATAAGATGAAGATAAACAAGAAATAGAGACATAAAAATATAATTATTTGCAGATGATCTGATTGAATCAATGGAAAACTTTAAGAATAAGAGAGTTAAAAAAGGAAACAAAATCTTCTCTAGTTTAAAAAATTAGCCTAATAAATTTTGAAAAAAGTTTTCAAAGAACTCATCAAGATTAAGCAAAAATGATCTTAAAGTTAAAATTAAATGAGAGTAGCCATAAAGTTTTTTGTGAAAAATAAGAGAAGACTTATATTACCAAATTTAAAACATATTATAAAGCTACAGTAATTAAAACAGTATGGGTCTAATGACAAATAGACAGATGAAATTCAATGAATATAAAATTCAATGAATATAAAATCCCATGAATCATCTCAAGCACAGATAAGAATATTTTATTTGTTTGCTTAAGAAGCTCTGTTCAAATAAAATCATTTGTGAAGTCTCATGATAAAGGTGTCAGTTCAAATCAATGGAGAAATGATCAGCAGGTGAAGAATAATGCTGTGACAAATGATAAATTATTTGACAAAATAAAACCCTTACTTTATGTCCTGTAGTAAACTTAATATAAGTAGATTGAGTCACATATAAAAATTGAAATTATAAATGAATTAGAAAAAATATAGATGAACTTTTATTGAACTCAGGTTGGAGGACCCTTTTTTAATCATAAAAGATGAAACTACAAGTTATATATTAAACCAAATAAAAAATTAAAACCAGAAAATATACAAATCAAAATAAAGAGGACTGTAAGTTGAAAATATAGACATTATGGAAGTAAAATGATTAGCGATTTTATTATATGAAGAGTTAGTGTAAATTAATAAGAAGATAAATGTATAGATAGAAAAATCAGGCTAGGGCTATGAATGGCCAATTAAAGTTATAAAAAGATAATCAACAGCAGCATTATAATAAAGTCAATGCAAATTAAAACAAGAAGATAGATACTGGTTTTTTGCCTATCAAATAGAAAAACAATATAGAATAATAATTATTGAGGTGATGGGAGTAAGAATCAGATTATCAAAGATATTCATCCAGATATATATACAAAGATGGTCATAAAATTACAATAGGGAAAAAGGAAATTAGCTGTTCAGCAGTAGATTCTTACAAAAAAAAAGTCATAATGCAAAAAAGGACAATCACAGCGGGGCATGGTGGCTCACACCTGTAATCCCAGCACTTTGGGAGTTGGAGGTGAGCAGATCATGAGGTCAGGAGATCAAGACCATCCCAGCTAACATGGTGAAACTCCGTCTCTACTAAAAATACAAAAAAACTAGCCGGGAGTGGTGGTTGGCGCCTGTAGTCCCAGCTGCTTGGGAGGCTGAGGCAGGAGAATGGCGTGAACCCAGGAGGTGGGGCTTGCAGTGAGTCGAGATCACCCCACTGCACTCCAGCCTGGCCCACAGAGTGAGACTCCATCTGAAAAAAAAAAAAAAAAAAAAAAAAAAGAAAGAAAAAAAAAAGACAACACATATAGTGATTAAAACCATGATCTTAAAGAATAGAAAGAAATATTGGTGATAGATAAAATGAAAAAAAGTTACAGAGTAATCTAAAGAGCGTGATAACATTTTTTGCCACAACCCCAAATATATAGATATCTACAACCAAGCAAGAGCGTCAAGATGGAAGAAAGCATATAGTGCCCATGGTTTTCTGATTGGTGACTTTTATTTTCTTCTTTGCACATTTGTTAATGTCCTGAATTCTTAAGTGTTGCTGCTTTAGTCATAAGAAAAACATTAAAAATGTTATAAAAATAATTTCAATCTGGCTGATCAACAACCTGACTGTTCTTTGAGCAGTCTTCATTTTTAACACATAATGATTCACCTATGTTATTTAAGATTTGTCAAATCTGTAGGTCAGGGATAAGCAGAATGTTTAGTGGGATGATGAAGGCTCAAAAGAGATTCCAATCCATAAATATTTTCCTATGGGGGCTTCTCAGTGCATTTGAAATAAATTGTTTTAGATTAAAAATTGTCCTTTCCTTTCCCCTCAAAATTCAGATACCTCAGAAGAGGTAACAGTATGAGACCTCCAAGGTGCTCAATAAATATTGGTTGACTTGAATTGAATCGAAGGCAGTGGCAGTACAAGATAACTTTGTTTATGACATCAGTTTTATCTAATAGCTGTAATTGATTTTATTTCTGGGGTTACTCTGTAATTGGGATGTGAAGAACAAGAGCACATAGGAATGCTCAGTATAAAGGTATAGCCACTAAAAAATAGGTAAAGAATGGAATACGGGATGCATAAAGCACATTTCTCTAAGCACATAGTTTTTCTCAGATTCATCCTTATAATTTGGCAGATAGACACTTGATTGGTTGTTGATCCTAATAAAATATTCATTCATCCATTTATTCATTCACTCATTTATAGCCCTAAGAAGTCCATGAGCCCTGTGGTTCAATCTCTAGTCTCTATCACTGTTAATGAAACAAACAATCAAAAATTAATTTCCTATAACTCACATTCTTTATTTGTACTTCCTGTACACTGTGAAACAGACATAAAACCTATGGGCCATGGACCATTTCTCTTATTTCTATTCTCTCTTCTTGTGATTCTGTATAATAAAATCTGAACATTCAGTAGAGCAACAGTTGAAGCCTCTAAGAGAGAAAGGGAAATAAGCTGAAGGGCTAGACCAGAATTCTCTTTGTGTGTAGGCAGAAGGACAGATGCCTGCTATGTGTTAAGCACTGTTGGAGGTGTTTGAGGTACTTCACATCCCTTCTTAATTTTCTTTTTTTTTTTTTTGGAGATGGAGTCTTGCTCTGTCACCCAGGCTGGAGTGCAGTGGCGTGAACTTGGCTCACCGCAACCTCTACCTCCCGGGTTCATGCAATTCTCCTGCCTCAGCCTCCCAAGTAGCTGGGACTACAGGTGTGTGCCACTAAGCCCAGCTAATTTTTGCATTTTTAGTAGAGACGGGGTTTTGCCATGTTGGCCAGGCTGGTCTCGAACTCCTGGCCTCAAGTGATCTGCCTGCCTCGGCCTCCCAAAGTGCTGGGATTACAGGTTTGAGCCACTGTGCCCAGCTTCTTCTTATTTAATTCTCATACTAACAATACAAATGGAATAATTTCATCCTCATTTTGTAGATGATGAAATGGAAGTTTATATCCAACATATATACTGACTTGCATATATCTAATTTAGGATTAAGATGAGCATACCTCCCACTTTACTTCGTTCAGTCCCACAGTTTACTTCTGTTGCCTTGATATAATTGGTAATAGCATCTTTGGATGATTGGATAAAGAAACTGGTATTTATATGCAGTGGAATATTATTCGGCCATGAAAAAGAATGGAATCATGTCTTTTGCAACAACATGAATGGAACTGGAGGCCATTATCTTAAGTGAAACAACTCAGAAAGTCAAATATCATATGTTCTCACTTATAAATGGGAGCTAAATAATGTGTACACATGGACATAGAGTGTGGAATAATATTGGAGACTTGGAAGGGTGGGAGGAAGGGAACGGGTGAAGGATGATAAATTACCTTGGGATGAGAATTTATATTGTCACCTATTAGAACATTACTAGCTTCAAATTACAAGAAGCAAAGATTCAGAAGAATTAGACATCAGGGATTTTACAATCTCGTAGACAAAGAAATGCAGTTAAGATGGTTCCAGGGTTGAGTAATTCAGCAGCTCAACAATATCATTGAAGTCAGAAGCTCCTTCTGTCTTTTCCTTCACCAGCCCCTCTAGGTTGCCTCTGCCTCTGTTGGTTGTGCCATTTCAGGTGTCACTTTCTCTCATACGCCCATGGCTCAAGCCAGAAAAATGTCCATTCCTTCTGTGTTTATTTACAGAGCAAAGAAACCTTTCCAAGTAGCTCCTCGCAGATGCCTGCTCATGGGGGTCACATGTTCTCTCTTCATCCAATCATTAGCAAGAAAATGGGAGGAGGAGTTACATGATTGGCTTTAACCAATCGGGATTTTTTCAGCAACACAGGAGCAATGAAAGAAAAACTGGGCTCTTCTAGAATGGAAGCTGTGGAAAGGGGTGGTTGGGTAGGCCAAGCATAGCAACTGCTACAAACTAGTAAGTGAGGAGAGGCCAGCCAGTTCTAAAGGACCACGGAGACTACTCTTTCCATCTCCCCAGCCGCCCTCCCTTAAACACTGTGCTCTCCAAGGGGTTATGTCTGAAGGTTGGGCTTGGTGGGGTAGGTCACTGCATGAGAGAAAATGCAAACCAATAGCTATAACAATGTAATAAGGCCTGTAGGAGCCTACGAAGGCACTGAAGGCGTTCAAGAAACAGTGGCTTTTTTACAGTGTTAAAGGGTGAAGAGGAGCTTGCTCTATAGCTGTTAGTAGGGGCCAGTGCTGGGTATTTCAGCTAGAGGGAGCTGCGTGTACAAATACCTGGAGATGAGAAAGAGCCTAGTGTGTTCACAGAGCAAGCGGCACTGCGGTAGTGATAGAAGAGGAGCTTGGGGAGGTGAGCAGAGCCACATCCCAAGGGGCAGGTGTAACTTGACAAGAGGAGGAGATTTATTCCTGGGGAGTCATTGACAGGTTTAAACCTGAAAGTGGTCAGACTTCCTATTGTTCCTCTACGGAAGTTCTATTAGCAAGGAGTCAAGACTTCCAGGGCAGATTTCTTTTCTTTTCTTTTCTTTTCTTTTCTTTTCTTTTCTTTTCTTTTCTTTTCTTTTCTTTTCTTTTCTTTTCTTTCTTCTTTCTTTCTTCTTCCTTCCTTCCTTCTTCCTTCCCTTCCTTTCTTTCTTTTCCCTTCCTTCCCTTCCCTCCCTTCCGTCCTTCCTTCCTTCTCTCTCTTTCTTTCTTTTTCTTTCTTTCCTTCTTTCTCTCTTTCAGATGGAGTCTCACTCTATTGCCCAGGCTGGAGTGCTATGGCATGATCTCAGCTCACTGCCATCTCTGCCTCCTAGGTTCAAGCGATTCTTCTGCCTCAGCCTCCCAAGTAGCTAGGATTACTTGGGTGGTGTGCGCCACCACATCCAGCTAATTTTTGTATTTTTAGTAGAGATGGGGTTTCACCATGTTGGCCAGGCTGTTCTCCAACTCCTGACCTCATGCGATCTGCCTGCCTGCCTGCCTTGGCTTTCCTAAGTGCTGGGATTATGGGCATGAGCCACCGGACCTGTCCCTTTTATTTCTATTTTTGTTTAAGGGGCTGGGAATCCCAGCTGGTGTGTTGTAGAGAGATTACTCATGGCTAGGGGTGAGGTGCACAGCTCTGAAAATACTTAATTTTGGAACTTTTACAGAAGAAGGACATCTCTTTTCCCCGTCTGTGTATTCTTGAGACTTTGTGGCAGAGCCTGCTATATGTTCACAAAAATTCTCTTCTTTCGCCTCCTGGGCACAAGCTACATTATGTTCCCCAGTGTCTCTGGGAGTTGAGTAAGACCCTGTGACTAAGTTATGGCTAATGGATGGTGGGCATTAGTGATATTCCCAACTTCCAGGCCTGGCCCCTAAAAACCTCCCACATCATCCTTCATGCTCTCTCTTCTCATCTACTTGCCAAAAGAAGAAGACTTTAAAGACATAGAAAAGGCAGAGCTACTAAGTGGAAGGATTCTGGGCCCCTGAATGACTGCATGGAACAGAGCCCTCTACCAACTCGCATTGTATTTAGTTTTATTGTGATAAACCACTGAGACTTCAGAGTTTTGTTTTTACAGCAAATAAAACATACCCTGCAGGTGTTTGTGCACTCTTGAAATACGAGGGAAAGTGGCAAAACAGCTTCTTGATAAAGTCACAGAAAATATACTGAAGTATGAGGAAGAGTACATTGATGAAGACTCAGAGGGGCTTATCTGTGAAGCAAAGACAAGGAAGTCTCATCTTGCTTGGCTGTGGTGAGGGCTGCATGATACCATGTATGTAAAGCACCTAGCACGAGTTGTCTCTTAATGGAATAAGTTAGGAAAAGTGTTTTGGAGTTGGTAGCTATCAGTTTTATAAATATCTGTAAAAAAGAAATAATAAGAATATTTACCTCGGTGATTTTTTGTAAGAATTAAAAGAGATGATGCTTTTAAAGCACTCACTTAGTACAGGGCCTGTAAAATAATATGGAAGCTTCTATAATAGTAATGACTGCTTCTTATCGACATTACTGCTGTAAGACATGACTGGGCTGTGACAGCAGGAGGTTTTAGGAGGGAGAAAGCGTTTCAGGCTGGAGCTGTGTTGGGAGCGATGGAGGGAGGGGCAGAAAAGCAGGGGGGTGGCAGGGGGAAGGGGAGATGAGATGCATGACACCAGGTGGAGCAGTTGAAAAGCTCTGTTTACAGCCCGATGACCACTTCTGCCCAGACTGAACCTGGATCATTCCAATTGCCACTGGGCACACATCTCTGCAGCATGCTGGCGCCTCATCATATCTCGAGTGCTGTTTCCAAGAAGCTCAAAGGGCTTTCTGGAAGTTATCTGCTGGCTTGACCCAGCAGCCCCATGTTATCATTCCCATCTCACAGATGGAAAAACAGGACACCGAGTGGTAAACCTACTTACCGAAGATCACAGTGTGAGTCAGTGGCCTGTGTGCAATCAGATTCTAGATTTCTCCATCGCAGGCCCCTCCTGCGGCTCCTCCAGGCTAGCTTTGGGCTGGGCCGCCAAGCAGGCTGCATTTCTTTTTTCTCAAAGAGAGCCACTAAGCATCCAGATTCTGCATGTGATTTAATTATTAGCCAGATCCTGATCTTTGATGACAAGAAGTTTGATTTACAGACTAAATATTCTCCTAGGTGCTGGCGGACATTCTATACTTTTGTTCCTAGCATTTATTATAAAATTGTTCATATAAACAGGAAAGCTGGAAGAATTTTAGTCAATACCTATATGCTTAGGATCTGGATTCTACAATAGACACTTTGTTTTATTGTACTTTATTAGCTGAACTACTTACTAAGCAGAGAGGTGAAGTTGTCATCTTTGACAATGATAGTCAAAGTAAGTGATGCTATTAAAAATTATTTAAATATCTGCAAATGATTAAAAAAATGGTTTAAAAAAATTTAAGTCTTTCAACTCACCGGTAGACTAGTATTTGCTATCAAAGTGAGGTTACAGTAGATTTCAAGAATGTTTGCATGCTTAGTATATAACCTAGCATGAGTCTTTCAAAATAAAATGTCATGGCATTTCACTAGATTGGTCTAGTTTTAAAAAAGAGAAGACCCCCGTCTCCAAAACAAACAACAACAAAGCCCAGAGATCTGGAACAGGGAGTGTGGCCTACCTGCAGCCCTGGAATAAAGATACACTTACTTTAAGGATACTATATATATTTAGTGACTTAATACACATTTAGGGGAAGTGTGTATTAAGTCAAAAGATAGAAACTGCTTGACTAGAAACTTGAAAGGGCCAAATAAATTGTTAGATTAAGTGTCTTCTTTTATGGTTAAGGCCCAGAGATGGCAAGTCACAGAGCAAAGGCCTTTCACTGACAGTATTGGACCAATAACTTTAACTTTCTTATTTATCTATCTATTTTTAGAAATAAGATCTCACTATGTTGTTCAGGCTGGAATGCAGTAGCTTTTCACAGGTGCGATGATAGTTCACTATAGCCTCGGATTCTTGGCCTCAAGTGATCCTCCTGCCTCAGCCTCCCGAATAACAGACTACTGGCATGCACCACGGTGCCCAACTAGACCAAAACTTCTTATACTGGAGGCAGAGTTGGTGAAAAATACTCAAATGGCCATAGCATTTTGTCTCTCTCCCTTCCCCCAATTCCAGCCATCCCGGAGGCTTCAACACACAGGCTCTTTCTTTACAGGGACATGTGAGCTTAAACAGTGAGCATTAGTTATGACTGCTGCCACCAGAGTAGCTGCCAGAAATAGCCCTTTTGGGGCCTGGTGTGGTGGCTCACGCCTGTAATCCCAGCACTTTGACAGGCCAAGGTGGGTGGATCACCTGAGGTCAGGAGTTCAAGACCAGCCTGGCCAACATGGTGAAACCCTGTCTTTACTAAAAATACAAAACTTAGCTAGGCATGGTGGCGGGTGCCTGTAATCCCAGCTACTTGGGAGGCTGAGGCAGGAGGATTGCTTGAACACTGTAGGTGGAGGTTGTAGTGAGCTGAGATCGCACCACTGCACTCCAGCCTGGGCATCCTGGGCAACTCCATCTCAAAGAAAAAAAAAAAAAGAAATATCCCTTTTGGGGAGTTGGTGTGGGGGGAAGTGTTGTCTGGGCAAATTGGCTTGAATGTGGATCTGAGCTGCTTTCATGAAGCAAAGCTGCCCAATGAATGTGCTTTTGGCACCACCTTGTTGGCCTTCTTGGCCCAGTGGCTTTGCCCCAGATGCAGTTTCTGAGATGCTGACGCATGGCAACTCCTGAGCCCCCTTGTTGTTTAACTACTGATACTTTCTGGATGCATCCCCTGGTCAGAAAAATGAATACACAAATAAACCCTATGTCACTGTTCTTCTCCCATCGCTCCTGAATTTATTCAAGTGCAAAAGGGGCTGGTTCCACTGAGATCCCTGCTTGCATGTTTGGTGCAAAGCAGACCACCAGGCCAGGACCCATTCAGATAAATCTAGCCCCATCTCTTGACCCCCAGAGCCGTCTCAGAAAGGGTGGTTTATAAGCTCCTGGCAGAGGCTTGCACTGCAGGAAGGAAGCAGCAGAAACTCACATCCCTGCTGTATCAGTTTGTCATCTTTGGCCTGTGCAACCCTCGGAAACCTTAATCTCTCCAGGCGTCAGTCGGGATTCTGTCCCCTGCACTAAACTCATTTAAGGCAGGGGAGTGTGTATTAATAATGAAGATAACCAAACAGCCCAGGCTGTGATATTCCCTGACCTGCCCCCAGGCAGGCCTTAATGACTGTTTGTGAAGTGCGCCAGAGCCTTACATGAAAGGCACAGGTGAGCACAGTCCTGCCCCCTGAAGTCAGGACACCTGCTGAGCCTAGCCCCTTGTGGGGTCCAGCTATTCCTGCAACCGCTGGCTCTGAAGGCCTTGTCCCTGCAGGCGGGCCGGCCATGCAGAAAGTGCCACAGGATGCTGAGATGGGCAGGGGACACGCAGAGTTATGGGGAGGAGCCCAGGGCGAGAAAAGAAAAGGGAAGATACAGACAAATGAGTGAAAGAACGGAGAAGTGAGAGGGAGTTGGGGACGCAGAAAGAAAAGATGCAGAGAGAGGAGGACAGGCAAGGACTCGGAGAGACAGGGAAGGGAGAGAGAAGGGGAGAGGCAGGTCAGAGTCAGAAAGATGGAGAGAGGGAGAGAAGACAGACACAGGGAGAGGGGAGGGACTGGCTCCAAGTTAGGTGAGGAAGAGAGAAATAGAACAGGGAGAGAGGGAGAAACTAAGAGGGGATGCTAAGAGAGAAGAGAGCGACAGAATCAGCAGGAGGTGGAGAGAATCAGAGAGGTGGGGAGTAGGAGACAGAAAGGTCAGGAAGTGCACAGAGACAGGTACAGGAGACAGGGAGCAACTGGAGACACAGACACACATGCACACGCACACACACACGAACACGCGCGCACACACGCTCGCGGCGAGGGCTGGGGAGGGAGGGAATTTAGGGGAGAGGCGCAGACAAGAGACAGACATGGGCAAGTCACACACTTTCGGGAGAGACATCGCAGAGGGAGAGGGAGAGGAAGGGCAGGGGAGGGGAGGGGAGGGGAGGGGAGGGGAGCCCGCTCCAGCTGCCCACCCATCCCCCGCCCTTCCGCAACGCCAGCATCCTGCGCCCCTCCCCCGCCGCCTCTTATCAGCGGCGAGCGCGGCGCGCGGCGGCCTTGGGCTCGAGGAGGCGGCGCGGCGCGGGGCCTGATTGCAGGTGCGCCGGCGCCGCCGAGTCTGCAGCGGCCGCTCAGTGGCCGGCCCGGCGGCCGGGCGGGTGGCGGCGGCAGGCACGGCGCGAGCGAGGGGCGCGGGGGCGCGGCCTCCCCTTCGCACGCAGGGCGGTAGAATGAGCCGCACGGCCGCGCGCCGCTCGCCCCTCGCCCCGGGCCGGCCGTGAACTTGCCGGGGCCGCCTGCAGGGAGAGGCGGGCCCCGCTGGCACCTGCCGCCCTCCGCTCCCAACTCCGTCCACGCCCGGGGCTCGCAACCCACGCGGACAGGAGACTGCTGGCTATTGGCACTGTCACGACGCTGCTGTGTTTGAGCAACATCTATCTTGAGAGAGATTAATAAAAACAGCGACGTTTTCCAAAGATGCCACTGTTCACAGGACATCCATTGTTTTTTACTTGCTTGGCTGAAGTTAGCAGAGCCTTGAATAGCAGGGCCTACCTGGCTTTGCATCTGAACTTTGCCTTTTTCTAACTGTGGCCTTGGGCTAGTGTCTTGCCTCTCTGCATCTCTATCTTCTCCCCTGGGAAACGGGAAGAATAAAGGTGTCTGCGTCACAGGGATGCCGGGAGGTTAAAGACAGGCAAAGATATAAGTGGTTCAACAGTCCCCAACACATAGAAGCTGTTCTGTAGGACCAGGCTGGTGTTATCATCATTAGTGGGGCTGGGGAAGGGTTGACAAAGGAGCTGGTGGACATCCACCTCCTGCTAACCCCAAGGATCGGTGCCTCGGAGTCTCCTTCCTCTCGGCTGCAGGAGGCCAGGAGTCCTGGGTGTGCCTGCTGGCCTCCCTCGGGAATGGCCAAGTCAACTCCTGGCTCAGGGTCCCATATTCCTTCTCAGAAAAATGGGCCTTGGGCCATCAACCCAAGACTCTAATAACCTGTCTTTCCCCGAGGGTTGCCGAGGATCCAAGGGCAGGGTGGCTACACGCCTGATTTGGTATTGATATCTGGTTCCATCTCTAAGAGCTCTGTAGCTTTGGACCAGGTCATGTCACTTCCCCTAAGGCGCAGCTTGGCAATAGCAGCAGTGGTGCCTAGGGGCGTTGTGGGGATTATCTGGGTGCTGCAGCCCTGGAGCTGGGATTTTTCAGACCTCCGTGTGTGAAGTCCTGCAAGCTGAGAGCCTCCAGATGACCCAACTTAAGATCCACCCAAGCATGCACAGCCAGGACCCGCTCTCCCAGCTGCCGCCAACCAATGATTGGGCATGGCAGAGGTGCTAGAGCCCAGCCTCTCCTGCCTGGTTTGGGACTGCTCTGATGGCCGATCTTTGCGGGCCACTCCTCATCACCAGGCAGAGACTTTCTCGGAGTGGACCAGACCTATCCTGCAGGCTCTTCCTGCCCAGTCCGCCTCCCTTCTCTTCTTCCCCTGTGGGACCTGCATCCTGATGTGCAGGTTCTCCTGGACTACTCCTGCTTCATTCCCCTTTATCCTTCACAGACATCTCCCTCAGTAAATGTCTCATTCCATCTAGACTTCCGCTTCCCAGAGGACTGAAACTAACACAATGAATTAATATGTAAAAGACTCACATACAAAGCCCCTAGTAGGTGCTAGGAACTATTATTATTATTATTACTATTATGATGATGCCTTCCTGCTGTCAGCATTCTAACTGAATATCCTGAGCAAATGAGCTTTTTCTTCCTTTCTGTCCCATTTTCTCTCTATTCTGCAAACACTTCCCGAGAGACCCTCCCAGAAGCCAAGCTGCATGCTTCCTGCTGGATTTACAGAGCTCAGCCCCTGCCCTCTTCCTGCCCAGCAGGGGAGACAGAGAAGAAACAAGGATGATAAAAGCTTGGATAGGCAGAAGCAGCAAAAGACAGCAGGCTGGAGGAGGGAGGAGCAATCAGGGAAGGCCTCCTGAAGGAGATGATGTGTGTTACGTCATGAGAGATGAATGAAGTTATTCACATCACCCAGACAGAGGGGAGGATCCATACCCAAATAAGTTAGGCAAATGAAACACAAACCTATGGTGGGGCCAGGTGGGAAGTTTTCCGTTGGGAGGGTTTGAGAGTCTTTCTGGAAAGGGTGACATTTAATTTGACACTGTGGTATAAATACGAGGGCTGTGTTGCTGAATGGTTAGATGAGTGGGGGTCTCAAACTAGTCTGCTTACCAGAGCCAGGCAGGTCAGAGACATGAGTGATGGGGAATAAGGAGGCCCCTCATCTGCCAGGGGTTGGCTGCTCTTCATTTATAGTCAACGGTTGCCACATGGAAATGCAAGCCCAGGGGGCTAGATTTTCTGATTTTGCAAGGAGAGCTGGATATTTTAATGTGAAATTTCCCGTTTTCTTTTATCTTGATGACTCAGCAAAAAAAAAAAAAAAAAAAACATTAAGGGAAATGTAAATAAAACCAACAAACACTGAGCAGGTTGAACAAAACATATCCACGTGCCAGATTTGGCCCTGGAACCACCAACTTGAGACCTCTGGGTTGAAGCCTCGATGTTGGAAGAGAGGGCAGACCCAGATATCAGATCAAACAGGACCTTTGATGGACGTTCAAGCATTTTACTCTTCAAGTATTGACAAGGCCTCTGACCACCTAGCCTCCCTTGAATTTGAGCTCTAAGCGTTTTGGGATTTAGCATGAACTTTAACCCTTCTCTTAAAATCAGCTGCTCCTGAGACAGCCTTGTGCAAAGGGCATTGTGGTTCAAACAAGGAGGCCCAGAGGGTCCTAAGGCTGCAAACACCACGTCTGAGCACTTTCTTCCAGCTCCTGGTGGGTTTGCCACAGGGCAGGACGCGGAGCTTTCTAGAACCACAGGCTTGACTCCCATTTCTCCCTCACTAAAATGATGGCTCTTTCCTTAATCCTTTCTTGGGGCTGCCCCATCTTTTCCAGTTTTCATCATCATTAGGACTGGGGCATGCTGACCCACACACTGAAATGAAGCAAATCAAATAAAATATAAACAGACCTGTCAAAATCCTTTCAAAACAGCCAAAGGGAAGTTCCCCCAAATTAAGGCAGCGCCTAGGAGCACAGTAGTCAGAAAGAAAACCTTTTAGCTGCAACCAAGAACATTCCCAGCTGAGGTATTTCATTATAATAATGGCCTATCTTGGATAGGCAATTTAAGAGAAAGGTTAGTGGCTGAATACAGTTCTTGCCCTAAGAATGCCAGAAGGCTATACAACAGGAGCCTGTACATTCTTCAGCTGGAGGCAGGGAATTTGATTTGATACAGGTTTATTTCCCTGGTTTTGAAGCCTAGGCATTGCAGATAGTCTTTGTTTTCAGACTTCCAAGGGAGGCTTGGCTGACAGACTCCGATGGGAGTCTTTGATTACTTCCAACTACCCATTAGTTAATTGCTCAGAGGTGAGGAGCTTACAGGGCAGGTCTCTGATGATCCTCGGGGTACCCTACTTGCAGTGGGATTAAGTCAGTGAGATGGAGCACACGCATGCCTCCAGGTCCTTGTGAATCCACACAATCCTCTCTGTGTGTCCCAGGGAGAGCAGACTCCAGCAAGAGCCCAGCCGTGGCAGTGTGGTTCTGGGGCCTCCAGAAGGGGCGACAGGCCTTGAGAGTGTTTAGTTAACATGGAGGAGGGAGACTTCCATTCATGGATGCACGCAGGGGCTATTTACTGAGGGCCTACTCTGTGCTCCCTGGGCGTGGCTGCAGGCAAAATGGAGTTGATGCTCTCAAGGACTTGGTTCTTTCCTGGCAAATGGCTATTAAATAGATACTTATACAAATGGCTTGATTCTAGGTATGACATATGCGGTAAAGTAGGATAAGGTGTGCATTAATTTCCTATTGCTGCTGTGACAAAGTACTACAACTGGGTGGCTTAAAACAACAAAAAAATATATTCCCTTGCAGCACTGGAGGCTGGAAGTCCAAAACCAAGGTGTTTGTAGGGCAGTGCTCCCTGTGAAGGCTTTGCAGGTAAAATCTTTCCTTGCTCCTCCGGCTTCTGGGGAAACCCTTGGCTGCATCACCTTCTGCTCTCTGTTGTCACATGGTGTTTTCCCTGTGTGTCTGTTCTCCTTTTCTTATAAGGATGCTAGTCATGTCAGAGCAGGGCCCACATGGTGACCATATCTTAACTTGATTCCATCTGAAAAGACCCGATTTCCAAATAAGATCAAATGCTTAGTTCCTAGGGTCAAGACTTCAACCTATCTTTTGGGGGGAACGAAATTCACCCCCTGCTAGCATACTGGGAGAACTGATGTCGTTTTGTGGTGGTAGGTCAGGGGAGTTGTAAGGCTTCTCTGAAAGGCTGAAGCCTAAAGAATGTATAAGAATGTGATGTTTGTTTCTGAGGAGTGGAAAAACATTGAGGTTAGGAAGGGTTTGCCCAGGCAATAAAGACAACCAAGGAAACAGGAGAAGACCCAGTGATTCTTTCCAAAGTCTTCCGAACTTGTGTCAACAACCTTGTAGCTAAATCCATTCTTCCGTATCACACCAAAAATATTAACCGGATGCACTTTTACTTATTCCTAAGAAATTTCTTCATGCTAGGCTTGTGTCTGGCCTTGTACCTGGACCTCGGGTAAAGATATTAAAATCAAACCAAGGCAGAGAAATTAAAATCACATGGAAAGTGTTTTTGTGGATGTCCTGAGTGAGAAAATGGAAGAGACGAAGATAAAAGTAAGAGGTGTTTCAACAAAGGGGAGAAGAGACTAGGCTTTGGAACATGGAAAAATGGGTTTGAATTCCACTTTTCTTGCTTCTGAGCCTGCATGAACTTGGCCACAGAAGGTAACCTATCAGTGCCTTGGTTTCTTATCAGCAAAATGAGTTACTAATAACCCCTGTGACTCCAGCTTGCTGTCCAGAATAGGTGAGTTACTGTCAGCAAAAGGCAAAGTACTGTGGCTGACATATAGTAAGCATCCAATAGATGGTGATTACCATGAAGACTTGACCAGGGAACTAAGGAGAAATTATCCACACATGAGATGTTAAATTCTAAAAGACATAGCCAAATAGCAAGATGGAAATAGAAGTGATAGCACAAAGCAGAGAATGATTAGTTGTTCAATGAATTGAACAAATAATAATTGGCATAAGAAAGAGACTGAGCTTGGGAGCGGAAATGTTTCTGATGAGATGGACTCACAGGGTCAGTAGGATTTAGTTATGCAGATGGCGGCAAGGTGAGGGCGTCCCTACAAAGATAATGGGGTGAACAGAGTCATGGACGAGGCAAGTTTTAGGTGTGCTTTGAAAATAAGGAATTAAAAAAAAAAAAAGAAAGAAAAGAAGGAATAGTTTGACTGGAAGCAGATGGCTCAGTTGAGAAATGAAATCCTGGCCCATGTTTGTAAAAAGGAGCTTGGGGCTTATAGTGGTTTCAAAACACAACCACAAATTCTTGCTACTCTGCCTATCAAGAGGTGGATGCTAATTCTGTCCCCTTGGATATGGAGGATCTTTGTGACTTTTGGTAGAAATGATGCTATGTGACTTCTGAGGCTAGGTGGTAAGGTCATAAGGAGGTGCAGCTTCTGCCTGGCCCTCCCTCTTGAGACATTCACCTTTGGAGCTTTGAGCCCATGGTAGAGGGAACACAGAGAGAGATGACAGAGAGCAGAGATGTCCAAGGAGCCCGAGCTATTTGAGCCCCAGTTGTTTAATCTCCCCAGCCCAGATGCCACATATGTAAAGGAGAAAGCCTTCAGGATGCCTCCAGACCCTGCCACTATCTGACTCTAACACAATCCATCCTGCTGAAACTAGTTGCTTCCTAGAACCATGAGAGATGAGAATAATACATGATGGTTGTTGCTTCACGTCACTAAGTTTGGGGTGGTTTGTTATGCAGCAGGAGATAACCAGAGCAGGACTGGACTACGAAAGTCAGCTTGAAGGGTTTGAACAGTGGCCAGTGGGAGTCACAGAGGGTGTTTGAGCTGTGAGCAAGATGAACAAAATGGTGCTTTAGGAAGATTAATCTGAAGACTTCCACCAAGTCAGTGTAGAATAAGAAGAGATAGATGTGAAGACAACTGTTAAGAAGTGGTTAGAGGGTTGAAAGAATATTAACTGTAATTCTTAAATGGATGAATCTGCTGAGATTCTGGCTATAACCCAAAACATTTGGAACAGATTATTTTTTCACCCATTCAATTGTAATCCATCCCTGAGAGTTGAGGATGTGGCCAGGCCAGGGCATTTGTCTGCAAGTAGGGTCCTGCCTGCTGCAGGGTAGGGAGTGTCAGAATTGTCCAAGGACAGATGACATGGAGAAAAATCATCGAGATGGAGACAAGGATGCAAGAAGGCATTGTGTGAGGTCTCTAGGCCTATCTGTACCTCTCGCCCAGCTGCCGGATCTGGGGTTGCAGGCATGAGTAGTGTCTTAAGTGAGTTTAGGATTAGCAGGTAAATCTTGGTGAAATCTCAAGTGTGTAATTTACCACATGAATCACCTGGTAGAGCATTAACATAAAACTTACAGCCTGGGGTGGCAATTAGTGCAATTAAACAGCCTAAGTTGCTTTGGAGTTGAAGGTACCTCCATTCATAGGCAACCTAGCAGATACACTGGGGGAAACTGGAGGAAAAAGTCCTCACAGGTAATTCCAGGCTGGAGTCCTTGGGAGCAGCCACAGAATGTGCGTGACCCTTTTAAAAAATGTAGAGTCATTTTTGGGGGAGGCAGGCACAGGGTTGGAGGGACCTCTCGTGTCTTAGACTTTCCTCTCAAAAGGTGCAGCAATTGACAGAAGCTGATCAAAAGCATTGACCAGGACAGTGATTCTTCTAAGTGTGGTCCAGCTCTGCTGGCATTAGGATCATTTAGAGGCATGGCTTCCAGATGCAGAGTCGAAGGCACCACCCCAGACCTATGGCCATAAGAGTGGCTGGGAGTTAGGCCTGGGAATGGCTTTTTTTTCTTTTCTGAGACAGGGTCTTGCCCTATTGCCCAAGCTGGAGTGCGGTGGTACAATGATGGCTCATTGCAGCCTCAACCTCCTGGACTCAAGTGATCCTCCTGCCTCAGCCTCCTGTGTAGCTGGGACCACAGGCACATGCCACCATGCTCTGCTCATTTTTTAAAATTTTTTTGTAGAAACAAGTCTCACTTTATTGCTCAGGCTGGTCTCCAACTCCTTGGCTCAAGCGATTCACCTTGGCCTCCCAAAATGCTGGGATTACAGGCAGGAGCCACAACACCTAGCCTGGGAACGACGTTTTTAACAAGCACCTTAGTGCTTGCTCTGAAATTTGAGAAACCTCATCAAGTATTTTAAGAGAAAATTTCTTCCTGGATTTCTATCCTAGTTTGCACATGAAAAGAGTGTTTAATTTTCTTTTTAATTATAAAATTAACACATGTTCACTGCACCCAATTAGGAAAATCTGGTCTGCTTTTAATAAGTAATTAAAGATGGAACATTCACGGAATGATTCATCTGGAAATGCTCACTGGATTGTCTTCTACTTACCAACTTACATCTTTGGATAGTGATTTACAGCTAGGTTAGCTAAGGGAGTGAGAGGGAAGAGCATTTCTAACTTGCCTAAGTGGCCAACCACAGGAGAGCTGCCAAGCATGAGAACTCTAATTTGAACCCTTTAGAAGTTCCTGGGACAGGCCAGGCTGGAACAGCAGAGCTATAATTGAATGGGTGAAAAAAATAATCTGTCCCAAATGTTTTGGGTTACAGCCAGAATCTCAGCAGATTCATCTATTGAAGAATTATTTATGATGTGCCTACTATGTGCCAAAGATTTCTGAAACACTGGAGATGCAGTAGCAGACAGATCTTGTGATTCCCTCCAATTCTGGATTCTGGTGGGGTGAGGTGCTCACGTTGGTTGCAACCTGGCCCAGGGAAAGTAGGTCACAAGAAGAAAGCAAAGCCACATTTATTGACCTTTTCAGGAAAAGCTTCCCCTTCAGAAGAACTTTCTCAGAACCCTGGACAAAAGACAATTTCGTGAAATGCTGTTACAGGGATTTAAGAATCTCCCATACTTTGTAAAGTGGGGGTTGACAAATAGCGATCAAGAGGCTAAATCTGGATCATTGTCTATTTCATGGGAACACAACCAGCCTCATTTATTTATTTACGTATTGTCCAAGGCTGCTTTTGTGCAATAGCAGCAGAGTTGCATAGTTGAGACAAAGACCCTGTGGTCTGCAAAGTCGTAAAGAGTTACTATCTGGTCCTTTCTGGAAAAAATTTGCCAAGATCCAACTGGAGAGAATGCCGCGTGCCTCAGACATTTAGATTTTCTAGGCAGTCCATAGGATTGGGTAAGAGAGTGAAACATCAGGTCAGTCTGGTGCTCTGGAGTTTAAGAAGAGGAGGGACCTCCTTCTGCCTCTGCAATCTGGCATGCATCTCTCTTGCTAGGTGGCATTCTTGGGCTTGTTGAGGTGAGATGACAATTCCATCAAAGATCACACACTTTCTGTGCTCTGTGGACTTCCCTTCAGGCCCCCAAGTGATGTCTGGGAGTCTCACCTTAATCCACCAAATAGTCCTGAGTGGGAATTTAAGCCTTGTTTGGTTCTTGAGCCCCGTGCTGCAGATCTGTAGATAACATGGGAGCACAGCTGCCCTTGGGGCCTGAGGTTGATAGAGATCAGGCAGAAGGTTGTTTGGGAAGACACAAGGTAGGGCCATAAACCATCTTGGCAAGACTCCCATGCCAGTTACTGGTTGGATTCTTCCTTATCCTCCATCTGCCAGGGTTCCTCTTTGTTGGGGGCTGTAATTACAGGTAGCAGGGTTGCTAAGAGGCTTTTAATCCCTAGATTTACTGGTTGATTTTATGCTCCTAGGTGCTTTTGCTCTTTTATTCTCCAGCAAATTGGCTAGCTGCACGAGAAGTTCAAACCCTTGGTGTATTCTGCCTCCTGGGAGGTTAGTGATGCTTTGTGAAGGCTGCCAGCCTCCAAGCAGACAATTGAATTGCCCCAGAGCTGAGTTTTCATCAGTTTTCCAAGCTCATGACTCAAAGGGCCTTGACCAAGGGCATGGAGAGGAAAAAGGAACAGGGCGGACCATGAGCAGAGGTTTAAATCTCACCTCCACCTTTGGAAATTGTCTGGCCCTGGGCAAGGACAAAGCCTCTTTAGACTTCAGTTTTCTTCTCTGTAAAACGACCGAAAAAGGTGGTTGAGAGGATTGAATTAAATGCCATATGTTGCCAGCTCTATTGTAGGTACTCAGTAAAAGTGAGTCTTTTCCCCTGTGGCATCTTCTGTTCTGAAACCTTATGTGGTTCCCTTCTACTGACCTGATCAGACCTAAGAAGGAAATGAACCAGTGGAGAATGGGGAGAACAGTGTTTCAGACAGAGTGGACAGTCAGCACAAAGGCCCACGGAGAGTGCGGGGTGTTCGGGCAGCACCTGGAAGGCTGGGATGACCAGGAAGGGAGACAGGGGTGGGAATTTTGGGGTGGGCAAATCAGCAGGGGCTGCATAAAGAGTTTGGATCTGATGAAAAAAAAAGGAGATGCTCTAAGCAGGAGAGCAATTTGATCTTGCAACAGCTTAAGATGATTGCTGTCTGCTGCAACGTGAATGCTGGTGCACCCTTTTTTGTAAGGGCTTGGTGGATAGCTTTGTCCAAGTGACCTTCCTCGGTGCCTGAGGTTTCAGAAGCATCGTAGATCTGAAAGGGTTGGGGAAAAGCCTGTTCTCTTTCCAAGACCAAGTTGAGAGCCTGGGATTCTTGGCTGGTGCTGCATAAAAGCTCTGTGATTCTGCAGGAAAGAAAGGCAATGGGCACAGGTGGTGGTATCTTGCCCATGCTCTTCCTGCTGGTTGCAATTGTCTCCATGACTTCAGCCCAAGGAGAACGAAGCACACAGTGTGGACAGTCACTAAAAACCATGCTGTGTTCCCTGAGGGCTTTGGAGTCAGATCGATCTCACCTTAAATTGTGGCCCTGCCACTTTCTAGTGTCAGATCTTTTTGAGTCTTGATTTTTTAATTTGTAAAATGTGAACAACAGTAGCCTTGACTTCATAGCATGGGTCTGAACATTGAGAGAAGTATTGCATGTCATATAGTCATTCAAATACCTGGTATGCACTGCTGTTGTTTTTATTAGCTGCAAGGCTACTGCCACAAGTTTTTCCTTTTGATAAATTTGAAAAATAAAGGACAAATATAATGATAGTTCCTGTATTAATCAGGAACTCTAGAGGGACAGAACTAATAGGATATCTACATATGTGTGTGTATGTGTATATATATATATATATATATATATATAGAGAGAGAGAGAGAGAGAGAGAGAGAGAGAGAGAGAGAGAGAGAGAGAGACAGAGAGGACAGAACTGACTAGTCAGTTCTCTAGAGGGACAGAACTAACTAGATATATACTAGTTAGAGGGACAGAACTAACTAGATATATATATATCCTATTAGTTACATATATATAGGAATTTATTAAGTATTAACTCACATGATCACAGGATCCCAAAATAGGTCATCTGCAATCTGAGGAGGAAGGAGAGCCAGTCTGAGTCCCAAAACTGAAGAACTTGGAGTCCGATGTTTGAGGGCAGGAAGCATCCAGCACGGGAGAAAGATGTAAGCTGGGAGGCTAGGCCCGTCTCGTCTTTTCACGTTTTTCTGCCTGTTTTATATTCTAGCCATGCTGGCAGCTGATTAGATGGTGCCCACCCAGATTAAGGGTGGGTCTGCCTTTCCCTGCCCACTGTCTCAAATATGAATCTCCCTTGGCAGCACCCTCACAGACCACGCCCAGGATCAATACTTTTGCATCCTTCAATCCAATCAAGTTGACATGCAGTATTAACCATCACAGTTCCCAACAATTCCAATGTCCAGAATTTTAAGAAGTGTTAATACTTATAGTTTTACATGTTGATTTGTGAAGTCTCATGGGCTTTGAATGTGAGCCCAGTGACAAGGAATAAGCTCAGATTTTATTCTTAGATGGACAGCTTCCTAGCTGTTGTGAATCTGGGCAATTCATGTCACCCCTCTAAGCCTATTTCTTCATCTTTAAGAAGGCAATACCTCCTTCGGAACAGTGATAATTGATATTTATAAGGAATGTCATGGAAATTACATTTCAAATAGTTTAGAGTTCGGGCATGTTATTCTAATTCCTTGAAAGATGGTCATGTATACAGCAGATAATGTGACAGGACAGCATGCTGTATGCTTAAATGTGGGGTTCAGTATGCTAAGTGTCCGGTGTGGCCCCTGCCTGGCATATTATAGGTGTCTGGTTTGAGTTCCTTTTCTTTGGCTGATGTGAACTCAGTGCCTGGGTTCTGAAGTGAAGGCTCAATGTTCTCTCTTTGACACCTAATCCTCCTTGAAAACTGGGCCATAGTTGATCTTTCCAGAAAGTGAAAGGCCCTTTGCTCTGAGTCATGGTATGGTTGGGATGTCAGCATTGTCCCCTGGAGCCGGAGGACCTGGGAGAGGAACTCCTCCCTGGCTCAGGGCCTGGACCACTGCCAAGGAGGATGTGTCAGCTCGGGGGCCCAGGCTTGACCAGGGAGAAGGCTCCCCTTTGCAGTCCTGGTGCCAAGCAAGGTTCACTGCCGTCACTTGCAGGCCCCAGAATGGTTCATTGTGGAAGACTTTCCTTCTAATCTCCCTGAGCCACTCTTGCCCCTCCTATCCATTCAATGAGAAGCTTTTGAAAAGCAAGACCAGATCATACCACTCACCCAGTTTCAATCTTCTGGTGGCTTCCACCGATCCTGGAGTAAAATTCAAACTCCCATCATGGCTCATGCAGCACAAGGCCACATAGTATAGTGGTCCAGGCCTTCCAGGGTATCTGTTTTGCTCCTCTGTCTAGACCAGTGTTCTCAGTGGGGGGATTGTGATTTTGTTGCTGGGGGACAGCTTGGCAATGTCTGATTGTAATAACTTGAGAGAGTATGATGCTATTGACATCTAATGAGTAGGGGCCATGGGTGCTGCTAAACATCCGACAATGCACAGGGCAGCCCCCAACCACAAAGAATTATCTAGCCCTAAATGTCAATAGTGTCAAAGTTGAGAAACTGGTATAGACCTCACCTCTTCCAGGAAGCCCTCCCCGAGCTCTCTGGGTTGAGTAGATACATCCCTCAGTTCCCACACATCCCTAATCATTCTCATTGCAGCCTGCATCAGTCTGCATGGTCCTTAGATTCCAGAAGAGCCTGTATGTCATGGCATCTATATCTTTGTCTTCCTTCCCCTCTAGCTTGTGAATCCCCCTCTCCTTAAGGGGAACGGGGATCACATCTTACCCACAGTTGGGTCTCCAAGGTCTAGCATAGAACCTGATACATTGTGAGCACCCAGGATGTTGAATGAGTGAATGGATGAATGAACGAATGGAACAACAGTCTGAGACTCAAGAAGATGCAT
Source organism: Homo sapiens (assembly GCF_000001405.40). Classification (NCBI taxonomy): domain Eukaryota; kingdom Metazoa; phylum Chordata; class Mammalia; order Primates; family Hominidae; genus Homo; species Homo sapiens. The sequence continues at coordinate 115,439,688 of NC_000012.12, read as the reverse complement.
CTTCTTCCTCGTCCCCATTGTATTCCCACTGGGTGTGTCATTAACCTTGCTCTCAGTTTCAATCCCTCCTTCCAAATTGGCTTAATAAATTATCCATATAGCCTGATCCTTGTGAAATAGCATGAGCTAGCTTGGATGGAAGTGTACTGAGCTCCATGTAGGAGAGAAGATCAACCCTTTTGCACTAAGACAATATTATTTTCATGTGTTACTCTGATAATATCTGTTAGCCCTCTGTGCCTAAGGGAAGCCCTGGATAAAGAAAGGCTTTGTGCTCTGAATAGCAGAGCAATAGTCTTGTGGATCTTAATCTCTTATCTGTGACTTTATTTTGGAAAACTGTGCTCCAAGCTCCACCCTTGTCCCCAAGTCCATGCTAATGCCTTCAACAAAGATCCCTGGAAGGGGAAATATAATTGAGTTCATCCTAGCCAGGAATCCGCACTCCCTCTCCCAGTGGGTGGAGGGACTTGTGGGTCCCACCCTTCATTCATTCTGGTACTATCAGCTCTCTACACACCCTTGAGAATCACCATGTAGAGTTTAAAACAATGGGGTTTGAAGAGGAAAGACAAAACAATAGATTTGGGGTTCTTCCCCTCAGCCAAGGTTTTTCAACCTTGGCACTGTTGACATTTAGGGTTGGACAATTCTTTGTAGTGGGGACTGCCCCGTGCATTGTAAGATGTTTAGCAGTGTCCCTCCATTTCACAATGGCAACTGTTGGCATTTGGATTTGGGTTGGGGGAGGACATTGATGAAGATTTTCATCTGTGTCAGTAATGTAGGAAAGAAAGATTAACTCTTGGAAAACCTCGGAAAAGATGGTCCTGAAGTCTAGCCTTAAATTTTTCACAAGCCAGCTAGTGGCCTTAAGCAAGTCAATGGACTTCTCTGAGTCCTAGTGTCATGATGGATAAATGAGATATCTATTCATTCTTCACTCACTCACTTTCATGGGTTTACCATCTAAAACCTGGTCATTGCTATCCTATTATGTATGTGGCTCCTATAATGACTTAACCCTCAGACCACTCTGCAAAATTATCTCTCTGACCTCATCTCCTACTCTCCAACCTCCCATCCACTCCTGGCTTCCTTGCTGTTCCTCCAACACACTAGGCAAACTCTCACCTCAGGGCCTTTGCACATACTATTTCCTCTGCCTGAAATAGCCTTCTTCGGGTATCTGCATGGTTTGCTTTCTCATCTCTTTTACATCTTGTCCTGAAATGTTACCTCCTCAGTGAGTCCTTTCTGGGCCCTTTACCTAAACCTGCTACTGCAACACACACACACACACACACACACACGCACACACACACACACACACGCGCACACACATGCTCTCTCTCTCTCTGTCTGTCTTCCTAGCCTCCTTCCCTGCTTTAATTTTTCTTTGTCTAATTTGCTATGTAGTTTTCTTATTTATTTTATTCTTTATGGTCTATCATCCTACACAAGAGTGGGGTGGAATCTGTGTTTGCTTCGTTCACTTGTTCACTGCCCTATCTCCAGTCCCTAAAACACTGCTCAGCCAAAATTAGCACTCAAATACTATTTTAATAAGTGAATGGGCAAGTGAATGAAAGGGATTTATTACTTTTGTTTCATAGAAACTGAGGCTCTGAAGGGTTGAATCATTTGTCGCTGCAAATAAAAGGCAGATCCAAATTTGATTCTTCTTCTGCCTGTCTCCTGAGCTAATAGGCCCTGTTGAGGTAACTGACACCCTCTGTCTGGCTGGAGGAAGACAGGAGTTAAATACATAATTATGTATAGAATGAACTAATTGTGATTTTAGTAGAGCTGCTATGGACAAGTGTAGAAGCTTATGGTGAATTCATCGAGGAATTGATTCAAATATTTCAAATATTTAGGACCACTTTTCAGATCTCTTTATCTTTTTAACAAATGAAGGGGGGGCAATCCTATCTCAACAATAGGATATCAATGTCCATTGCCATTTTAACAAAAGCCCAAATGAATGAAGGGAAAACCATCACCGACAGCATATGTTTATCCTCATTGTTTCAAAGTTAACCAGTCACGGCATTCTGTTTTTTAAATAGACTTTCTGAAAAACAACAATATCCGCCTGCCATCCACACCCTCCCTAACTCCTCCAAAACAAAACTGCCATAAATAGGACTTGGGAAGCAATCACTGGCTGGTGCTGACTCAAATATGAACAGTAGAAAGTTCAGACTGCATCACACAATGGCAGGTTCCTGGAGGGAGTGTGTGTGTGTGAGTGTGTGTGCATGTGTGTTGGCAAGGCCAGGGGTGGTTGCTAGAGTCTTTTCAGTTGCAGAATGAGGCCCGCCCACCTTGTTTTTTGAATGCTCAGATGTACACAGAAGTAAAATGTGGGATTCTGATGTATGAGCAGGAAGTTCCAAGGCCGTGACACCTGCTGCTATTGATGGCAACATAAAAGCTGGCACACGTGGCCTTCCCACTGAGGCTGTCTGATGCACCAGGTCTGGCCGTCCTTGGAAAACACTCACATTGTGTGCTCTGAGGTCTTAGGGGATGTCCTTGGCCTGACCTCTCACAATAAAGACGGGCTGTCACTGGGAGCTTCTCCCATGCAGGCCCTGTTCCAAGCATTTTGGGCAGCATACTGACTCATTCAATCCTCAGGACACTTGGAGGCAGGGCCTATTTCCTTCCCCTTGCTTTGTAGGGAAGGTGTAGGTCAAAGAGGTAGAGTGACCTGTCTCTAGGCACAGAGCTAGGAAGTGGCTAGAATTTGCATAAGGAGAGCTGCATCCAAAGGTGGCATTGAAACTTCCCCATATACTTGCTCACACCCTTGGGCCTCTCCTGACTTTTATCCAGTGTTGCAAAGGCCCTTGCTCTGAAAGAAAATAATGTCAACACCCCTCACCACCCACTAATTTAAATGTCTATCGATTCCCTATTTAGATAACCCTGATTTCTGGAAATCCTCATATCAACCCTCTGTGGATTGAACAGCCCTGTTATTTAGGCATAGAAATTCGGGAAAGTGAAAGAACTTGGATAAGATTCTATAGCCAGGGAGTGGGTAGAGTCATGATTTGAACCTAAAAATGTCTAGGTACAAAAATGTCTATATTCATTCATGTCTATGTTCTTTCATGAGTTGATTCATGAATGTCTTGGATGTGGTCCTTGCTATTACGTTCTCCAACAATTTTGGTGTTCTATTGCCTTCTACTAGTCATAATCACCTTGCTGGCTGATTTTGGTTTTCTCCCAGTTCTAATTGGTAATCTGGGACAAATTGTGTCATCTGTTTGTGCCTCAGTTTTCTCATCTGTAAAAGGAGAGGATCACGTTACCTGCTTCAAACGATCATGATGACAAAATGAGCTCATATAAGCTTACAATTACATGTGGCATGTGAACAATTATTTTTATTATAGCTGCTGCTATTATTATCATTATTTCCCATTAGAAGCTGTTTTTCCTTTTGTCCAACATAAACCTTTCTATTGAGTCAGTACTGTCTCTTTGTCATTTCTACCTACCCATCTTTACTTATTCAGGACCCTCCTGCTTCAAACATCCAAATTCTACCACCTTTCAAGAGCTGCCATCTTCATGAAGCCTTCCCTGGTTTCTCTAGGTCTCATGGTCTTGTTTCCCATCTCCAAGTCACTCCAGCTTATGCCAGCCACCTCATCACAGGATCCTGTGCTGCCATGAGTATGCCCTGTTTCCAGAATGTCATTGTCCCTTCTCCAACCCTACTAATAGGGCATACTAATAGTAGCGCAGTATAGCACACATACTAATAGGTGTAAGTCAAAGAGGCAAAGTAGGTCAAATAGGCATGTGGTGTACTATACTGCCCTACTATTAGTGTACCCTGTTTCCTGAGTAATGGTCCTCTCCTGAATCAGGTGCTGATATCTGGACTTTGTACTCTGTTGGCTAGAGAGTGAAGAAAAGTGTCAAGACTGCTGTTGGGTACAGGGAAGATCACTGGCCTTTGGGTCTGACAGGGCTCTGGGTGTGTGTACCAGCTTGACCGACTATCATCATTCAACCTCTCAGGTCTTCTTGTAAGGTTCCTTGTCCATTACATGGCAGATAATGTAGCTAATTTTTAAAGGTGGTTTAGAAGTAACCAATGGGAGAATGAACACGTAAGTGCTTACAGCAGAAATTGGAATAGAACTTCCTTATAACCAGGAGGTTGAGGCTACAGTTGGCCATGATCGTGCCATTGCACTCCAGCCTGGGCAAGAGGGTGAGACCCTGTCTCAAAAAAATAATAATTGCAGCTCAATATTGATCAGGCATTTACTATCAGCTAGATTTTGTGCTAAAAATTTTATATGTGTTATTTTCTCAAATAATTATTCAAATGACACTAACAGCACAAGCAATAAAAGGAAAAATAGACACATTGGACTTCACCAAAATTAAAAACTTTTGTATGTCAAAGGTCACTATCAAGGAAATAAAATTATAACTAATGGAATAGGAGAAAATACTTGCAAATCATATATCTGGTCAGGGGCTAGTATCCAGAATATACAAAGAACTGTTATAACCTCAACATAAATAACTCAATTTAAAATGGGCAAAAGATCTGTATAGACATTTCTTCAAGAAAATCATACACAGGCTGGGTGCGGTGGCTCACATCTGTAATCCCAGCACTTTGGGAGGCTGAGGCAGCTGGATCACTTGAGGCCAGAAGTTCGAGACCAGCCTGGCCAACATGGTGAAACCCCGTCTCTACTAAAAAATACAAAAATTAGCTGGGCGGGGTGGCATGTGCCTGTAGTCCCAGCTACTCGGGAGACTGAGGCATGAGAATCGCTTGAACCCAGGAGGCAGAGTGCAGTGAGTGATATCGCACCACTGCACTTCAGCCTGGGTGACAGAGCAAGACTACATCTCAAAACAAAAAAAAAAAGAAAAAGAAAATCATACACAAATGACCAATGCTGAATGTCACTAGCTATCAGAGAAATGCAAGAAAAACAACAATGATATCCCACTTCACACCTACTAATGTGGCTAGAATCAAAACGTCAGAAAGCAACAAGTGTTTATAAGGATGTGGAGAAATTAGAACCCTCATAAAATACTGATGGGAATATAAACTAGTACAGTCACTGGGGCTAACAGTCTGGCAGTTCCTCAAATAATTAAACATAGAGTTAAAACATGACCCAGCAATTACACTCCTAGGTATATACCCATGAGAAATGAAAACGTATGTCCACATAAACACCTGTACATAAGGGTGTATGACAACATTATTCATCCTAGCCAAAAGGCACAAGCAATCCAAATGTCCATCAACAGATGAATATATAAACAAAATGTGGTATATCCCTACCATGAAATATTAGTGAGCCATGAAAATGAGTTAGATGCTGATATATGCTACAATATGGATGAACTTTGTAAACATGAGGTTAAGTGAAAGAAGCCTCATGAAGCCTCAGAGAAAATTTGTTTCCTCAGTACAAAATGATAAGAAGATAGCCTAGAGACCATTAGTTTCTCCCCTTTTATTTCTCAGATGTAGAAATCGAAGCCCAGGGAAGTGAAGGGGCTTTGCCCAAGGTCACGTAGCAGGTGGGTGGCAAACCAAGACGAGAGCTCAGGCTCCCAGGTCAGGGTTTCTGCTCCAAACTGCTCCCTGGCTTCATTTGTCCTGTCAGACCTCCTGTCCTCAGATGTGTCTCATACCGATCCTTTAGAACAAGCTTGTCCAACCCAAGGCCCACGGGTCACATGCAGCCCAGGATAGCTTTGAATATTGCTCAACCCAAATTTGTAAACTCTCTTAAAATATTATAAGATTTCTTTGTGATTTTTTTTTTCCCATTAGCTGTCATTAGTGTTAGTGTATTTTATGTGTGGCCCAAGAAAATTCTTCTTCCAGTGTGGCCCAGGGAAGCCAAAAGATTGGACACCCCAGCCTTAGAACATCACTGAGTACAGGGCTTGTCTCTCTCTTTGGCTTCGACACCTATGGGTCCTGAGAGCCAACCTGAACTTGTTCATCCCCAGTGTGACAATCATTCACTTAGCTATCAACACCTGGCCCGCTGAACTGTTGGAAGGATTTAGAGAGACAAGGAATTTGCCTTGTGTGGGTAGATGCTAAAGATGCCCTCTGGGGTTTCAGCATTTAATGTTTTCTCCTTGTCTTCTGATTTTCTAAAGGGAAATCTTTCTTCTCTTTCTCTTTCATTAGTGGAATAAAAGGAAGGAAGACAGACACACAGAGAGAGTTTGCCGTGGTTACTCAACAAAGGCGCACCACAAAGATCGTGTTTGTTCATCCCCGAGGCCTTGGGGCCCTATTAGTCTTCCTGTAATCTTCAGAGTGGCATTGATGAACTCGAAGCCCTTCCTGCTCACCAGTTTTACCCTCCCTTCCTCCCCCTTCTTCTCCCCCTGTGTCTTCTAAGCTTCCAGGGCTGCCCGGTGACTGGGAATTGGGCAGAGCCCTGTTGCAGTGATGTTGCAAATCAGCCCCACCTGTCTCTGGAGTTCTGACCTTTTCAGTTTTGAAGGAATCTAAGCCCCTGTAGGAGGAGCCCTCTCACCTGCTGAGGTTGCCTCATCTGGTCTCAGGGCACTGCCTGGGAATAATAGCAACGGCAACACCAGTTAGTAACGGCTACTTCATATGACCAGTTGACCATGTGCCAGCCACTGCTATTATCTCCATCCTCACACAGCTCCACAAGGGATGCACCCTTGCATCCCCATGTGACAGCTAGGGAAACTAAGTCATAGAGAAGTCACTCAGCTTGGGTTCCAGCACTAGTGTTTCATGGCTGCATTATACCAGGTGCCCTACCAAATGCTTTACATGGATTAACTCATTTAATCCTGTTTATGGCCTAATCAGGTAGTTACTAGCATGGTCCCTATTTACAGAGTGGAGAATACTGGGGGATAGAGTGGCTCAGTGACTTGCCCAAGGACACACAGCTAGTAGGTGACAGAGCTCTATGCTGTTTCCCCAGCAGCAGTGACTTTTGTAAATACCTTATGGAATGATAAAGACATAAGTATTTAGGGCTGGATGGGGCTGCAAGGAACACCCAGCTGAGACATTATACGTCAGGAAACAAACCCAGACAGGCAAAGCAGCTCATCTAAGGATATATAGCTGGTTAGCTGGGGAGTTTCTGGCAGAGCCGTGGAACAATAAGAACAATAATTATTGTATGTAAATATTTAAAGATATTCTTATTATTATTTTAAAAATTGGAATGAACTTTGAAGACCTTTTATAAATGCACACTTCATTCTGTGCAGATCAAATTGTAAAATTATTAAAATAATAACTACTAGTTAAGCACACTGGAAGGGGCATTTGCGAACACCCTTCACACATATAACACAACACACACATAACATATATAACACACATACAATGCACAATACAGAACATACAACACAATGCATATAGCACACACACAACACACACTCCTCTTCCTTCTTTGAGTGGCACTTTGGTATTTGGTGTGTGCGTGTGTGTGTTTTTTTCCCCATAGATGGTCATGGGATCTATGCACTAGAGCAAAGCATCTTGGCTACGCCCAAGTTTAGTTTTCTGATACAAGGGTAGCATGGACAAAGGACAGGGAAGGTGTGGAGAAAAGGACTTTGGAGCAGATGAATGGGGGAAGCACAGAGAAATGAGCAGGGGTGATCTGACCTGGGAGCACTTCAGGGGAATCATTTCCTAGTTTTCCAGCCAAGAATAGGATGGCCCCAGAGGCTCTGAAAGCCTACATGCCAGGGCCGGTAGAGGTTGGGCAGGGTAAGCCCAGGGTGATAAACAAAAAGCCAAAGACCCTCCAGATGCCTGTTTTTAATCTAAACCTTATTTAGGACCCAGAAACTGACCATAGTTCATCTCACTGGTCTCCCAGAACAAAGTATCCTTATGTGGGAGAGGCACAAGGTCATAGCTAACATTAAACCACACCATGAAAAATATATTCCTTTTTCCTTATTTCTACTCATACCTTTAGATTTCTTCAGTGGCATGTTTCGGTTGGATGCTAATACTTCTTTACTTCCTCCCCATCCCCTGCTAACCTCTCTTAGAAAGAGAGCACCCTTCAAGCTTTGGGCCCTTGTTGGAATCATCCAGCTAGAATTTAGCAACAATGTTTTGTATTCTTTGTCTTTATTTTTAAAATTTATTTTAGACAGGGTCTTGATCTGTCACCCAGACTAGACTGCAGCAGGCCCATCATGGCTCATTGCAGCCTTAACATCCCAGGCTCAAGTGATCCTCCCACCTCAGTCTCCTGAGTAGCTGGGGCCACACGCATGTGCCACCATGCCTGGCTATTTTTTTTTTTTTTATCTTTCACTTTTTATGTAGAGATAGGGTCTCACTGCCTTGCCCAGGCAGGTCTCAAAATCCTGGGCTGAAGCGATCCTCCCGCCTCAGCCTCCCAAAGGGCTGGGATTAAAGGCATGAGTCACCATGCCCGGCTGTCTTTATGTTTAAGGTGACTTTCTATTTAAAGGATTTTACTCTAAATAAATTTCCAATTACTGTAGCAATATAGAGTTTACCTTTTGAAATAAATATATTTAACAATAAAGTGAGTTGGCATAAAGAAAATCGTCAAGTATCATAGTATAAGTGGTACATAGATGTTACAAAAATCATGAAGGTAATACAAGAATGCTTAATGTTTGGGGGCAATATCAGTCTAGGTGGAAAATGAAGAGACAGAGGACAGGGTTAGCAGGGATGGAGTGGTGTCTTTTTTGATTCACATGAGGGTTCTGCCTGTGCTAGCTCTGGGCCTAAAGTGGGCCTTGGGTAGGGAGGGATTTGGATGGGTTCAGGCAGGATAAGCTTGCTGCTGTAACAAATAACCCCAACACTTGAGTGGCTTTACCCAGTGGAAGTTCATTCATCTCACACTAAAGGCCAATTGGGTGGTCCTAGTTAGTGGGATGTCTTCTGCATGGTAATTGAGAGACCCAGGTTCCCTCCATCTTGTAACTCTACCTTCCTCTAAGGCCCCAGTTTCTCTGTTTTACCGGAAGAGGACCTCATGGGCAGTTTTTATGGGCCAAACCTGGATGTGACGCTTTCCACTTCTGCCAAATCCCATTGGCCAGACTCTGTCACATGGCTACCCCAAACTGCAAGAGAGGCTGGCAAATACCATCTCATTGTCTACCCGAGAGGAATAAGAAGTGAGTTGGGTGAGCAGACAATCTGTCTCTGCCCTAGATGGTTAGCTAATTTCTTGACTCAATATTATCGCATGCCTACCATATGCCAAACAATTTTGCATCCCAATTTTATCTAAATAGAATTTACTCTTTTCCTGAGGATTTGGAGATAATGTCTGAAAAATGAATTGCACTTACCATAGTCTATTTAAATGATCTTTTCAGAAATGATGACCCATCTTCAGCAGAGGTTCTGGAGAAGAAGGGCCATATCTTAGACATTATTCTGAAATACCTAACCTTGAGCCAGGCACAGAAATGTTTTGTGCAAAAGAATATAGGAAAGAAGTTTCTACAGACAATGACTACATCAGACTCGTGTTTGACTAACAAGTTGTGTTGCCCATGAACAACCACATTCTCACTCACATCATGGGCTCTTGAGCCCAGAACAGAGCCCAAGGCTGCAAAGAAGCAGGCTTCTGGCTCAGCTCCCCCATATCCCTTGTTGTCATGGGGACATGCTGTCTGGCAGCTGTCAATCAAGAAAGGCTGGGAATCCTAGATGTTCTTCAGGGCCTCCTATCAATGGCCTGATATCCTTTCTTTTACCCAAAGCAAAACTGTTATTTTACCTTTTATAAGTGGTATTTTCTGCTCAATAAGATCTGTGTGAACTCACCTGTTGAACACCTCCATGGGCAAATTCCTTTAAAGAGTAGGGTTTAGAGAGTTTCCTAGATGAATGGTGAGTATAGACAGCTCTTTCTATAATGCTGAGTACACCCTGTCACTATCTAGCTTTAAACAATTCATCCATCCATTTTTCATTCAGCCATCTAATGTGTATTGTGGATTAATTCAGTACTTTCAAATTATACGTAGTCCTTGTGTATGTTGTATCTTTGGACATCCACTTTGGGGATAGCTTGTATTCTGGGTGTTCTAACTCCCTAACTCCAGAACACCTCACAACCACTCATAATGTTCTAGGGTATTACTATCTTCCTATTTGTGTTATTCTATAGTTCAGATCACATTGTAAAGAGTATATCCTTCAACATATATCCCAAAACATTACCCATGTCAGTAAACATTATTTGTAAGTATTATTTTAATGCCTCCACAATATTTGGTTATTTGTCAAGGATTGCTAAGTAGGGGAGGCATACTCAGATTATATTTCTTTTCTAAACTTTAGAATGCGGGTTCCAGAACAATATGGAGGATGGGGGATGGGGACAGAAACAGATGAGTGAGAGGGAAAGGTAGGAGGGTGGAGGAATAGTCCAGAAAAGAGCATTAGAACTAAGAGGAGCCAAGTGTATTGGCTGAGGGTCTTGGCCCTGGGACCAGTAGTATGTCTGCATCTATATCAAAGTTTGTGCACTTAGTATAATGGCTGTGTGGCTTTGAGCAAGTTACTTAAGCTTCCCTAGTCTCAGTTTCCTCATCTGCAAAATAGCTCTAACAATGGTACTTATGCCACTGAGTCATTTGAGAACTGAGATAATTCATGTAAAATGCTCTATGAAATATGTCATAATTTATGAATGTGATAGTCTATAATTCATGTAAAACTACTCTTGAACAGTGCTTGACATGTAGAAAGTGCTCTGTTAGCTGGTGTCCTTATGGTAGCTGGTAGCAGGACAGATAGATTGCAATACATTCCTAATAGAGACAGCATGGCCAACTGGTGAAGCATGGTGGTGGGGACATCAACATGATTTTGCATGACTGGGTGGGTGATGGTTCATCTGGCCCAGATGTGAAAGGTTAGATGGACAACAACCTTGAGAGAAGACTGGACAATTGGATGTGAGCCTCGTTGACCCCTTGTGACCTCCTAGCTCCATGTCCCCAACAGTGGGTAAGGGACTTCTCTGTGCTCAACAAGTCCAGGGTCTGGCTTGGCTGGGCTTGGCCTTAAGAGTTACTCAGAGTCAGGATACATATACCCTCTGCCATCTCTCTCCTTCATGCACCAATTTGAAGAAGATTCCAGGCTCTAAGATGCTTGATTGTGGGAGACCTCAGGACAGTAGCCATTTCTACATTGGAAAATAAAAATGGGATTGCACCACCTTCTCTTTAAATCTTCCCTCGGGTCTCTTTGCTCTTATGATGCAAGCTGAGCTCCTTAGCACGGGCTTTGCTTTATGAGTTCCCCTGAATGCAGACACTGAGATGGAGTCTAGTGCACAAGATGTTTCTGGTATGTTCTTGGCATAAATCCTTGTGCAATGGCAGGGAAAGGAGCAGGAGTGAGTATGAACAGAAGTGAACAGGGATGCAGTTGACAACAGCCTTGGCCAGCCCCATGGGGAGCTTTGGAGCTAGAATGCTCTTCAGCATTGTCCCTCATTGGACTCGGATGGCCAGATCTTTATATTTCCACATGAATCATTCATGGGATGTGGGTCTCTTTGAGAAGGGGTGTGGCTGCAAAGCTGCTCTCTGCTACTGGGGGACTCCTTGAAGGGGTTGATTGATGAAGGCCAACTGCTGACAGTGCTCTCAGCAGCCAGAGCACATTTTTTCTTAAAGAGGGATCTAGGTGTATCTCTCTGTCCACTTCAATGGCCTGCTAGACCCTCCTTGATCTGGGCCTAAAGAACTCCCAGTCTTTTCTCACCTAATTGACTTTTCTCTCTGATTCAGCCACCCTAACCTCTTTTCATTGCCTCAAGTGCCACATGATGTTTTGTGCCACAGGGCTTTTGCTCATGCTCTGTCTGAGATGATCTTTCTACCTGTTTTAATCTGACTGATACCCACTTGTGTTTCCAGTCTCAATTCAAATGTTACTTTCTCTTGGAAGCCCTCCTTGAAACCTAGATAACATTCAGGATCCCCCATTGCATACCAGCATTGCCCGTTGGACTTTTCTTTCATCGTTTGCAGTTCCAGGTATATTCGTTTGAGTCTTTGCTTGGTAGCTCTTTTTCTTACTAGACTGAAAGCTCCATGAGGGTAGGGTTTGGGTTCCTGGCCCATTGAGACAATCAAAACTGATTAATTTCCTCTTCTCTCTTCTCTGGGCAATGGAATACCTCATTCTTTGACATATTTCTTATTTTGATTAAAAAATGCATTTATAGGCATTAATATTTAAAACTTCCACCATAAGGACACCAAGCTGGAGGACAAGTCTCATTGTTTATCCTTTCAGCCACAAGTTGCAAAATATTTTTTAAAACCGCTTTAGCAAAAGGCAGACCTAACTTTAAATCCTCCGTCTGCCACTTGATAGCTATGTGACCTTGGGTAAGCTACTTCACTTCTCTGAGCCCCTGTTTTCTCATATGAAAATTGCCCCCTCTTAGGATAAAATGGGACATTGTCCACAGCCCAGCATAATACCTGGCACAAAGCAGGTGCTTGATGAATATTACTTGCTCCTCTTCCCAGAAGCAGGGGATTCAATTACTGCCCCAGTGGCTGTCTGTCAAGAACAGCAGCAGGAGACCAGTTTCAGACAAACATGCTGGCTTAATTGCCTCACCCTTCTTGCTGCTGACCTCACTGGGGCCAAGGCTTGTTTGCCTTGGAAGATGTGCTGATGGCTCCCAAGGTGGTTTGTTTAACTGATGGCCTTTGAGGGCTGGGGCAAGGGATCAGGAGACCCAGAGGCTCCTGGTCAGGTCAAAGGGTTTGACAGACAAATTGGGACAGAAGTCTAGTGATGCATTGATTGAAAGTGGAGTGACTTGTTAATCTCTGTTGATTTTGGAAAGATGGCTCTATGTGCCACCTATGAAGACAGGTGGGGCTTTTTCATTCCTTGGTGATGGCTTGGGTATTTAAACACTCCGGACAGGAGGATGTGCATTTATGAAGGAGGCAATTTTAGGCAGTGATTTTCCAGGCCCAAAGAGTCCCTGGCATCACATTCCCACTGTTCTAGATGTTGGATGGCAGATGTTGGTAATGGGGCATCACACCTGGTGCCCTGAGAGCCACATAACCTCTTCCTTCTTATTCATCACCTTGATGAATTACTATCTGTTGGACTCCCATGGTGAACTAAGCACTAAGATCTAGAATGGGTTGCAGTTGGGTTCACTAATCACATTTGGTGTGTCTCTCACAAGCAACATGCAAATCGAATGATAATGTTTAATGTATCCAAGGAGTTTATTATTAAAATGAATCTTATGGGAAATTCTATAATAATCTATTAATTATTTTGCTAAGTAATCATCTTTATAATTTGTTAACTGTGTAAATGTATCCGTTGGTCATCATCCGTCTATCTACCCACCCTTTCACTCATTAACTTACTCATGCACTCACTTCTTTGTATGTTCATTCATTCATTCATTCACTCATTCATTCATTCACCATTTTATCTGTATAGTCATTCATCTATTTCTCCATATGTTTAAGTATCTATCCATCTACCCAGCTATCTACTCACTTTTTTTTTTTTTGAGATAGAGTCTCACTCTATTGCTCAGGCTGGAGTGCAGCAGTGGTGTATGATCTCAGCTCACTGCAACCTCTGCCTCTAGGTTCAAGTGATTCTCCTGCCTCAGCCTCTGGAGTAGCTGGGACTACAGTCATGTGCCACAACGCCTGGCTATTTTTTTTTTTTTTTGTATTTGTGGTAGAGATGGGGGTTTGCCATATTGGCCAGAGTGGTCTCAAACTCCTGGCCTCAAGTGACCTGCCCACCTCAGCCTCCCAAAGTGCTGGGATTGCAGGTGTGAGCCACTATGCCCAGCCCTATCTATCTACTTTAAATCCATCCATCCATGCATTTATACATACATCTATCCTTCTGTTTTTCTAACCACCAACCCATTTATCTATTTATCCACCCAAAGTCTGTCTATTCATTCATTCTTTTTTCTCATTTTAAAATTTATTTATTTATTTTTGTACTTTTATAACTTTAGGGAGTACAAGTGAATTCTTGATACATGGATAGACTGTGTAGTGGTGAAGTCTGGGCTTTCCGTATAGCCATCACACCAATAGTGTACCTTGTACCCATTAGATAACTTTTTGTTCCTCACCACAGTCCTACCCTCCCACTATTCCCAACTCCAGTGTCTATTATTCCACTGTCTGTCCCCGTGCATACACATTATTTAGTTCCTACTTATGAGTGAGAGCATGTGATATTTGACTTTCTCCTTCTGAGTTATTTCACTTAAGATAATGGCCTCCGGTTCCATCTGTGTTGCTGCAAAAGGCATGATTTCATTATTTTTATGGCTATGTAGTATGCCATGGTGTGTGTGTGTATGTATTACTTTATATATAATATATATATAACTTTATATATATTATAATGTAGTACATTATATATAGTAATATTATATATTAAAAGGTTATAATTATATGTACTATATATTATAGTACTATAGGTAAAGTATCATATATATGTGTATGTGTGTGTATATATATAATGTGCTACATTTTCTTTATCCAATCATCCATTGACAGACACTTGGGTTGACTCCATATCTTTGCTATTATGAGTAGTGCTGCAATAAACATTCAAGTACTGGTGTAATAATTTCTTTTCTTTCGGATAGATACCTCATTCATTCCTTTCAAATTAATTATTCCTTCAGCAGGCTTTTACTGAGTACTCTCCCTGTCTCTAGTTCTATTCTAGGCACTAGAAAGATAAGTCCCTGGCTTTCCAGAAGCCCATGGTCTCATGGTAGAAACCAATATATAACTAGACAATTATCATCCAGCAAGACAAGGGAGAATCAGGATTTCATAAGGTTAGACATACCTTTATGTTCAGTAAATGTCAGTGAATTCTCCAACTCCCCAGGTGTCTTAGGAAAAACCCTCTTTACTTTTAAGATGAGATGGACGGAGCATGTGAAGCTAAGGGTAGATGCCAAGTTAACCCTTCACTTTTCAAAGTCTTTCACTCCTTTTGCAAATATCTGTCAGGTTTTCAACCCTTTCCTTCTTTCAAGCAATCTCACTTCTAGAAATCAGCTTGGAAATAACCCAAGTATCCAACTACAGAAAACTTTCCATACGTTATGGTACTGCTAAACAATGGAGCACTGTGCAGCTTCTGAAATGCACAAGGTAGAAGTTTATGAACGGATATGGAAAAGAACTCAAGATGTATGTTTAAATAAAGAAAATGAAGCCCCAAACAGTGTGTCTAGTACAATCACTCTGCGAGGGTTATGTGGGATGACACAGAAGTGACCAGTTTCTCCCCTGTTTGTAATAGATCATTTTTAAATTTTTGGCTGCAAAGAGAAACTTTCTGGAAAGGTCAGCTTTTACTTGCTTTTGCACTCCCAAAAAGCTAGAACAGTGTCTGGTGTGTAGTAGGCACTCCATAAATATTTGTTGAATGGATCAATGAATGCATGATTGAACAACAAACTCTTGTTTTTTTGGGAGATATGGAGTTAAAGGTTTTATTAGGGACTTTTGACTTTCATTATATTATATAAAATATATGAAATGTTTCTTTATAAAACTTTTAAAATTTAAAAACAAAGTGGAAAAAAAATATCCCTGAAAGGCTTCAACCCTCCTGCTCTCCAGGAAGGGATTGTACAGTTGGGTGACATGCCTCTGCTTATCCAAACTGTTTCTCATGTCTAATTAGAGAAGGGGGCCTTCTGTGTTTTAAGCTTCCTCTCTCCCAGGGGGGAAATGCCCGACCTGTCGGAGAAAACAAACAGCAGCCTGTGTGTGTGTGTGTGTTCCTGCCCAAGCGCTTGGGCCTGTAAAACCTGGACCCCCTTTCTGGGGTAGGAACCTACGTTAGGGAGCTGTTGACAGTCCCTCCGTGTGACCTCTTGCACAATTCCAGGGACAGCTCAGCAGCTTAGAAAAAGGAAGAAAACAAACAAAAACATAGGCTGAGTCTGTTTGTTCTGAGGAAACTAAGAGAGGTGTTTGACAGTCAGTAAATGCCAGCTTGGCTGTTGCTTTTAATCTGTAACATGGGAGGCAGAGGTGGGGTTGGGAGGGAGGAGGAGGACAAAGGGGGAAATGTGGAGAAAGGAAGGGCAGTGCTGGGCAGGGGCTCCCTCAATGATGAGTGCAGGCAAAGTGGGTTACATTGGACTGGTTAGGGGACTTCTGAGGGAGCTGAACTGGGACTTATCCTGGGAGTTTGTAGGTGGCAGGGACTGGGTCTCAATCATTTATTCATTCACTTCTCTATTTATTCATTCATCTCATTTTTCAGTCCTTCACTCCTCCCTGCCTCCCTCCCCACTCCCTCCCTCCCTTCCTCCCTCCCTTCCTTCCTTCCTTCCTCTCTCTCTCCCTCCCTCCTCCTCTTTTTCCTCCCTCCCTCCTTCTTTCCTTTCTCCCTCCTTCCTTCCTTCCTTCCCTCCCTTTTCCTCCCTCTTTCCTTCCTTCTTTACTCTCCACTTTCATTTCTTCCTTTTTTCCTTTCTTCCTTCCTCTTTCCTTTCTCCCTCTTTCCTCCCTCCCTGTTTCCTGTCTCCCTCCTTCCTCTCCCTTCCTTCCTCCCTTCCATTCCTCCTTCTTTCCTGACTCCCCCCCTCCCTCCTTTCTTTCTCCCCTCTCTTTCTCTCTCTCCTTCCCTCCTCCCTTCCTCCTTCTCTCCTCCCTTCCTCCTTCCTTTCTTTCTTCCTTCTTTTCTTTTTTCTCTCTCTTTACAACTACTTACTGAGTGCCCACTACATGCAAAAAGCTCTTCTGTGTGCTGAGGAATGTGACAGTGAATAAATCATTTAAAGACTCTGCTCTCATGATGCTTCCAATAGGTTGTAGAGACACAAGCAAGTTTGTTAAGCAGTTTTAAATGCTAAGATGAAAAATAAAGTTGGATAAGGACAAGGCATCCTGATCGGGGGCTGTTTTAGTAACAAAAATCAGGGACCATTTTTGGACATTTCAAGAGAGATGTGATTGAAGTGAAGGAAAGAACCATGTAGTTCTCAGGGGAAAGCATTCTGGAGAGAGTGAAGAGAAAATGCAAAGGTGAGAAGTGCCTGGGGTATCTGAGGAGGAGCAAGTTGTTCAGTGTGGCTGGAGCAGAGAAAGCAGGGGCAAGGTGTGAGGTAATGGGGTCAGGGAGGTGAGCAAAGGACGGATCCCATAGGGCTTTGCAAGCTATGGTGTGGGTTTTATTGTAATTTGACCTCAGGTCATTGGAGGCATTAAGCAGGGTGAGGGTATAATACGGCTTACATTACTGTAACAGACATCTTGCTTGCCTTGTGAAGGACAGAACATAGCGGGGCACAAGCAGAAGCAGAGAGAACATCTAGGAGGCTGTTGTGATTGTCCAGATGAGAGATCATGACGCTCAGGGCCAGAGGGGTCGTGGTAGAGGTGATAGGATGCGGAAGGATTCTGTGTATACTTTGAAGGGAGAATCAATAGGATTTGCTGATGGTTTGGGTGTGCATTGAGAAAGACAGGAATCAAGGATGAAACCAAGGATTTGTGCTGAAGCAACCAACTCAATGGCTTCTCTGTCTGCTGAGATAAGGAATACTGCATTGTTGACTCTGTACATGTACCTGGTATTTGCTCAGTTAATGTTTGCTGACCGACTGGATGAATGAATGAAAGCTATTTTGGAGAGGGGGTGGAGGGTTGGGGGATTGTCTTAGAATTTCTGATACATTCAACAAACATTGATCGATTGTCTACTATGTGTTAGATTCTGTGCTCAGTGCTGTGAAATATATCAATTCATTCAACAGACATTCAGTGAGTTTTCTGATTTTAGGAGCTGGAAGAAATATAAGGGAATAAGATAGATATGATTAAGCCTCTATAAGGACTCACTTCTAGATAGGGAGGCAGGTGTTAGACATGTAAAGAAACAAGCAAAACATTTCCCAGCTGTATTATCAAACAATAAAATAATAAAGGAGAATAAATAAAAATAGTGTCCAGGGAAGGCATCTCTAAGGGGGAAACATATAATCTGAACCTGGAAAATGAGAACAGCTGAGTCACATGTAGAAAAGAGAAAAAGTCATCCAGGCAGAAAGAATAGACAGCTCAAAAGACCTGGGACAGAAATGAGCCTAAATACATAGCTCCCAAGGCAGAAAAAAAATTGCGTGGCTTGAGGTTAGTGAATGGGGCAGAATGACATGAGATAAGGCTACAGATGAAGGCAGGTGCCAGATATAATGATGAACAAGACAGAGACCTTGCCTGCAAAGACTTACAGGCCGCTAGAGGAGTCAAAGGGTAGACAAAAATGATGAATAAAAGAAAGAACTTGCCAAAGGACCTACAAGGTGGCCTTGATATTAGAGCTAAGTCTATGCGTAAGGTCTTGGTTCACACAAAGGTACGGAAGACACATTCAGTTCCTTCTAATCTTCCTCTCACTCAGCATCATAATAACATTTCTGAAATCAGAGCAGGTCTACATGGCAAAGAAGGAAAAGACGTTCCAGTGTGGTTATCCTGAAGCTACGCGAGTGTTTCAGACCAAATCCCCAGAACTACAAGCCTCAGGGAAACACATGCCAGGCTGTACAGGATCCTACGTGCAGTCCTGAGGGGACCCACTGTGCTGAAGACTGATGCATTATTGGTTTTTACTCCAGTCTTAAACATCTACTACAAGTTAAAATGCTCTTTTCCTTCTTTCTTTATTTTTTTTTTCTTGATTGTGAGCCTATGGGGTTCCAGAAAGTAGTATTCATTCATTCAAGAAATATTCATTGAAGGCCAGCTCTCTTCCAAGTACTATGCTTTGTGCAAAGGAGACTCAGTCTTCCCTTGTGGAGTATGCACTCTAATGAGATCAAATGTCATTAAAGAGGTCAGCAAAATAATTTGCATAAAGGGTCATGGCAAGAAGTTCGGGGCTAGAGGAAGCACCTAGCCATGGAACATCAGGGCAGGCTTCTCAGAGGCAGTGGCATCTATTCTGAGATCTGGAGAGGGGGCAAATAAAGGTAGCTAGATGAAGTGGGGTGAGCAGCGTGAAAAGTAATCCAGCCAGAGGAGATGGATATTAAACAGCCATTCATTCTTTTGAGTATTCCAATATGTGATGATTCAAAACTCTATCCTAAACCATATCACACTCCAAACAGAAGCTGCCATAACTGGCAAAACGGCAAGTGTGAGGTTTGGGGTCAGCTGGGCCTTGGGTCATATCTCAGTTCTTTCAGTTACTCTCTGTGTGAACTTGGCCAGACCATATCACCTCCCAGGGACTCAGTTACCTTGTCTTTTAAACGGGGGTATTAACGTCATTCTACTCTCAGGTTTGTAGGGATATAATAAGTTGGCCCATGTAATGGGCCCAGTGAAATACTGGACACATAGTAAGTGCTCAAAACATCATAGCTATTTTTCTTGTGCAGGAATAAATTGGCACTATAAAAGAACAGGCTGAATCTATTAAAGTTGAACATGTGTCTTTCTCCGATGCAACAATTGCACACCAACGTGGAAAATCTCATGGAAATGTATGTGCTCATATGGTCATTAAAAAACATATAACAGAATATTCATAGTAGCACTATTTATAGTAGCCCAATCTGGGAACTGCCCTGATGCCCATCTAGAGTAGAACAGATAAACAATGGTAGATTCATGCACTGGAATAATACACCGCAATGACCATGAATAATCTTCAATTCACACAACAGCACGTGTGAATATCACAAACAGTGTTGACTAAACAAAGTCAAAGACAAAAGATGACATAGTGTATGATTCTATTACATAAAGTGTGAAAACAGGTAAAAACCAATCTATGATTTTGGAAGTCAGGATAAGGGGTACCTTGTGGGAGGAGGTGTTAATAATAGGAGGGGGGATGAGAGGGACTTGTCGGGGGCTGGTAATGTGGTTTTTGGGTAATCTATGTGTCTGTTCTATGTTGTATTCCTTTTGGAAAATTTATCAAATTGTAAACTTATGATCTGTTCATTTTTTTTTACTTTTGGGATGTTATACTACTTCAATTAGAAATCTTAAAATATAGCTATTCACATAAGTATTCACATAAGTATATAAGTCAATGAAAGCTACCATTGTTCCGACATTTCAGGCTGGACTCTAGACCCCACTGGATGTTAATGTTGCTTTGTAGAATTTTTAGTCACATTTTTTCCTCAGCATTTTAGCCAACCAGTGGTCAGTGGCTACTCTTTCTGCTCACTGGTCTGAAAGCTGTGCCTGCTCTAATGACTTGTTCTTTCTTCTGGATTCTCTCTTGGATTTGATGGCTTTGGTCTTTAGCCAAATTGTAACTGACTTACCAGAGTTCTAATTTGGCTTTGTGGCTTTAAGAAGCTCTAAAGTTCTCATTTGGGTATCTGAAGGTGGATTATTTGGGCATGGGCTTTGTTGATTGAATTGCAATATTTTCTCTTGATTCTTTGAGTGAGGTAAGCTATGATGTGAATCATTGTTTCGTCCTCAGCCAAAACTTTGTGGGGGAAAATTAGCAAAAGCAAGAACTCACAACCGTATGCAATATTCTTCTAGCACCTCTGGACATCTCATAGGCAGTCTAGAGAAACAACAACATTTAGTCAGCAAAATGGCTCGTTAGCTCCTTCTCCATGTTTCCATTTTATGTTCCTAAAGATTGGGTTTATCTTTCATGGGCAGAGATATTCTATTTTTACTCTGGAAACATTGACCTCTGCTTTGCCTGTGCATTTTTTTTCACTCAACACAACTAAATGGGCTGAGGCTAGATGAACAATTTTACAGGAGTCTGAGCAGAAATAGTCACATCTCCCATTTACTGTATGCCAGGCACTAAGTGCTCTTTTTATAAGCTCATAACAAGAATCCCAAAACACAAGAACAATCACTGTCTATATTTAACAGATGAGGAAACTGAAGTTTAGGCAATTTCAGTAATTTGTCCAAGGTTGCCCTGGCAAAGAGCTAAAATGGGATTCTCACTGCATTTTGATTCTTACACCCTTGATCTTAACTATAACACAATTCAACATTTTTAGAATTCACCCAATTTCTTGGCATCCAATTTTCCTCATCTGAAGAATGGGGCTGATTAGACTCCTCTTTCAGGGTTATTGTCAGGATCAAAGGAAACAAGGCACTTCTAAAAGGTAAGTGGTTCTTGTTCCTACATAAATTAGTTCTAAAGCAATACTTCCCATCACTTACTAAGCTGTGTAAGCCAAGTCCTTTCCCTTGCACAATTCCAACCTCAGGGTATTCATCTAAGAATGTTTCTTAGGTGGTATAGAGGTCCTGGTGTGAAGGAGAAAGACCAGAAAACTGCTGGGACTGAAGAGAATGTAATCTTTAGTAGCCCTGCTGAATTCATCCATAGGTAAATTCCTCCAAAGAGAGGTTCAGCCAATTTCCAGAGGAATGATAAGGAAAGTTGGCTCTTTCTGAAATATTGAGTGCATCCTGTCACTCTTTGGCTTAAAAGAGTTCATCATTAATTCATTCATCTAATGATTATCAAATATTAAGATTTGGTAAGACATAATAATAGTAAAGCACTTACATTCTAAGCTGTGCCCTAGGTAATTTACAAATATTTACTCACTTAATCCTCCCAACAGCTATACAATATGAGGTTGGATATAAATATGTGCTTTGATTATATGACTTGAATCTAGACAGTCTGGCTCCAGAGTCTGTGTTTCTAATCACTGCACTATACTGTCCTTCAGTCTGCTGTGATCTGTTACCAGCTATTACCTGGAATGATATCTCCCTAGTGGGGATGGGTAACCCTGGGTTGGAGTGACATTTATCACTATTGCAACATGTCTACCAAACATTACACACACCAAACATTTTCTGCGAATACAAGAAAGGGTCTTACAAGCTATGTAAAGGCATTTGGATGCTCCCTCCAGATTGGAGACCACACCTCTTCATGTGAACACGCATATTTATCCCAATATTGAAGGGATTGTACCTTTCTCTCTACCCATGTAGACTGATATGCTTTGAGGACAGGGTAGCATGATGTTTAAAGCTGTATCCCCTACTCTGTCAACTTTGAATGAATGGATGCATAAATGAATGAATTGTGTCTTTTCTCTTTCTTCCTGCCTACCCCACTTGTACACTATGTGCTCACCATGTTGAAGTTTATCTTTTTCATAGCTCATAATTTTTGAGTACTTACCAACTGCCAGGTGCTGTGATAGGTGCTTATCCCACAGAATCTTCATGATAACTACCATGGTTTCAATGATGGTGTCCCCTCTAAAATTTATGTTGAAACTTAATCCCCAGTGCAAGAGTATTAGGTGTGGCCTTTGGCAGGTGATTAAGTCACCATGAATGAGATTAGCATCCTTATAAAAGGGGTCAAGGTTGAAAGAAACACCTTGTGGCCCTTCCATCCTTTGCCATGTGAAGACATAGCATTCATCCTTTTTGGAAGATGCAGCAGTGAGGTGCCATCTTGGAAGAGGAAATAGGGTTCTCACCAGACACCAAAACTGCCTGCTTGATCTAGGACTTCCCAGCCCCCAGAACTGTGAGGAATAAGCTTCTGTTTCTTATAATGACCTAGTCTGTGGTATTTTGGTATAGCAGCACAATTGGATCAAGACAATAACCCTGGGAGGCTTGTAGTTGTATTAGCCCCATTTTAGAGAGAGGGAAACTGAGAAGCAGAGAAGATAAGTAATGTGTTTATAACAGGTAGGCCCAGGAGTCCCCATGGTTTTCCTGGCTGTGCCATACCATTTCACACACCCTGCCTTCGCTCAGGCTGCTTCCTCTGCTTGAAGCACCTTGTTCCTCACCCATCCTGTTAGCTGGGCGCACACCTCCCCAATTTTTCCAAGGCTCAGATAAAGGCTCTCTTTTTCTATGGATTCTTTTAAGCTCTTCTCAAGGAGAAATGTTCATTCTCTCTTTGGTGCCCCCACTATTTTTATTAACACTTCTTTTCCTTTTCCTTTTAGCCATGTAATAACTCAAGCACACAGAAAAATACATACAGAGAATAAATGTCACAAACACCTATAGATAGACATTTAATGAACATTATTTTCTCATACTTTTTTCAGTTTTTTTAAAAAAATAAACTTTGTATGTACTTTCTCAAAGGGAGGAGGATTTTTTTCTTGGGCAAGGATGATCTACAAGGGCAAAAGAAAAGTAGATGAAAAGTAGTTGAAGGGAAAACTTGCTTTATTACACTGATAATTATGAAAATAGGTCATAAAATCTCACTAACCTGAAATAACAGTGAGACTTTACATGTCATAAAAATTAGTGGGAAGTACCAATTATTAAATGTTATAAATTTGAAAGCAGTTATAATCTAAAAGTTCATTTCTTTTGACCTAGGAATGCTTCAGTTAGAAATTTGTCTTGCTAAATAATCACAGATGGCTACAACAGTTTACTCTCAAGGAAGTTCATTGCAGTGTTGTGTAGAACAGTTAAAAAAATGGAAACAACTAAAATGCATAAGAGTAAAGAGGCTGATTATAAAAATCACAGTTTATTCTTACAATAAAATTATATGCAGCCAATAAAATGTATGCTGCTGAAGAATTCTAAATGTAATAAAAAGTTATTCATGATACAGTAAATTCAGATGGCAGAATAAAGAGTACAATACCAATTTTATGAAAAAGACACTAATAAATGTTTGTATCTATAGCTATGTTTACAAGTTTGTAATTAATTATATACAACTATACCAATATCTGGGTGACAGAATTATGTGTAATTTTTTCTCTCCGATGCTCCTGTATTTTATAACAATCATCTTTGTAATTTAAAAATAAGTTATTTAAAATGGAAAATATTAATAGTATAGACAAAATAATTACATTATTTTAATGCATTGTACATCTTACATGCTCAGCAGCAAATGAGTCTTGGTAAGTACAAAGAACTATCTATATCAAAATTACTTTCCAAAATGGCCTTTGTTAAAAATGCGTGAGATCAGAAGGTCTCGGATGGTGGCTTATTTCCCAAATGTGTTGTTCCTAACCTGACAGGTATGCTGTTGAATTCTGTGAAGTTCATCTGAAGGATGAACTTAAATGTGATTTGATGATCCCTGCCCATCCTGTAAAACTGGAATCTGAATATTCTTTTAAGAGGGTGGGGGCTTTGTGATCAGTTATGCACAACTGGCAGGGTGGGGATGTGTCTAGGATCTGGCTTAGGTGGGCACTCATGCTTGGCTGTAGAGTAAAATGCTGGAGCAACTGGGAAATAAGGAAGTGGCTGAGATACAGGAAAAGGGAAATGCAGGGCCTACCAGGGCAGCAATAGATGTGTTTCCCACAGGGCCTTCATCAGCGCAGGAAACAGAGGCAAAGATATTGTTGTGAGGCACAGATGGGGGCCTCAAGTATATTGTTCCAGGTGTGTGGCCTGTGATCATCGGGGACAGAAAGGAGAGGTCTTAGGCTGTGTCAGAATGAGAATGGCCTTGGTGGCCCATGAGCATTGGGACCAAGGGACATTCTAGTGGAGATCTGAAATAGGTCACTTCTCACTTCCAGGATCCAAGTTCCTCTGAGACCTTGTAGCCCAAGGAAATTAGACTGGGCATTGGAATCAGACACACCAGCCTTTAAGCACTACCACAGGCTCTCTGTCTCTCTGAGCCACAGTTTGCTCATTTGCAAAATGAGTAAAATAGGACCTAACTGTCAGGGTGGTTGTTAAGATTAATGGAGATACTAGGGTTAACATGTTTACTGCAGTGCGTTTTCAAATTAAACTCTCAGTATACAACATATGCTTTCCTTGAAAGCACAGCAGGACAATCCATTACTCACGGTACAATATATTTTGCAAAAAAAAAATTACCCTCAGGTATAACAATGTATCTGGGTTTATGATGACTATCCTCTACACCTCTTTCTTTTGATTTGTGTAAATTGCCTGAAAACCAGCCTACCTGTGAAAGGTATTGAAATGTTGTTAATGTATGGATTTGAGAATTGAGGAAATCATTTCAGATTCATGGGGTCAGTTCCTCTAATGCGATATGATAACGTATTTCAATAAATTTGTGGGGATGTGAAGGAAAAAAGCCACCATTATCAAAACACTACTTTCATCATTACCTTTACCACCACCATTTTTATCACCACGTCCATCACCACCACAAAGAGCAAGACCATCACCACCACCACCAGCATTAACCCATCAACACAACCACTATTGACCTTGTTAATAATAATGGCCTTCATATCTTTGCCAACACCACCGTCATCACCATCACCACCACTACCAACAATAACAACATAAAGAAAACCAGGAAACCTCACTTTTCTGTCCTGAAGATAATTCTTAACCATATTTAAGGCACTGTGCTAGGTGGCAGGGAATTAAGGATGAGTAATAATGGTCTCTGTCTTCAAAGGTCTCACTGTCAAGTGTATAAAGCTAAAATGGGTGCTTTTATAGGGGCGAGTTACTAGTGCCTAGATGGAGAGTCAATGCATAACTGGTTGGGGGTGGGAATAGATGAATGTGGTCCATTTCGATAGAAGAGGTAGAATTTTAGAAAGTCCCTAAAAGATGTTAAATTTCCCCTTGACCAGAAATGGCAAATGGGATGTTCCTACTCCATATCTTTCGCCCGTGGTAGACATCCATAAACCACCACAGCTCACTTTACAGCTGAGCCTGAAGGTGGTGTATCCACCTCAATACAGTGCTAAGGGCAGCCCAACCAGCTACAATGAACTGGAGTTGGCTCTGAAGAGAAACAATTTTCACCTGCCTTAAGAGAAAAGGCAAAAGTGCCTTAGGGCAGATACCTATCTTGCTAACTGTTATATCCCCAAGGCTAAGCCGTGGGCTTGTCTCCTAGATGGCTTTGAGTAGTACTGAATGAGTGGTTGGATGAATGGGGATAAGAGAGTATTCCATATGGAAGGCAGGGTATGGGTAGAATTCTGAAAGCAGGAAACTGCAGTGTGTGCTTGGGGAACAGCACACAGGCTTTGAAAAAGAATGAAGAGGGAGACAAGATCCTATTTTGTAGGCCCTTGAATGCAACTACTAAAGGTATTTGAGAAGGAAAATAGGATAATGTAAACTGTTTAGATAACCTGCATAAATAATAGTCTAGTCACAGGTGGTAAAGTAGTCTACAGATGATGCTAATAAGAGCTAATTTCCTGGATCACCTGCTGTGTTCAGTTCTGATTGTTTAAAAATCCTTCCAGCAATCCTTTGAGTTAGGTGCTATTATCATTTCCATTTTACAGGTAAGAAAACTGAGGCATGAAGAAAAGTAACTCACTTAGAGTCACACGTACAGTAATTGGTCACGAATATCCGAATGGGTTAAATCCCTTTCTGAATGAAATTGAAAAAATATTCTTTCTTTGTCTCACAATGTTTTAGCTAAGTTTTCTTTATTTCCAGTTAGAACCAAAGAATTCATTCCCTTCCTTCTGTAGCAGTGGGGGGCAAGAAACTCATCTCTTATGAAGCTAATGGCAGCTGTTCTTCCCTCTCACCCAGCTGTCTTTTCCTGAAATAGGATAGGACAAGAATTCTAAACTTTCAGATACCAGGGAAAGAACCCTGGAGTTGGAGATCTGAGTTTGAATCCCAGCTCATCCATCATACTCATCTGGGTAACCCTAGCAACCAACGTCACCACTCAGCTCTGCTCCTCATCTGTCTATGGAAACATACTCATCTCCGTACTTGGTTCATGTGATCCCGGTGAGGATTGGTGAGGTTGCCTAGATGTATTAAAACATTTTGTATAATGTGTACACATATAGAGTCTGCAATCTATTTGTCCTTTGTGGCAAGTACCATGCTCATACGAATATAGTTATTTCTATAATAAAAATTATTATTTAATATTTGGCTCTTGAACTCAGCTGGGTAAGTGGTTGATTCAGAGACCTCTGATGCACTCTGCCCATCCCCTTGCCTTGGCTGTCTTTGATTCCAGCTGCTGTTTGGTGTCTGGTTCTATGCAGGGTCTGACCAGATTTCACGCAGGGGCAATACACAGAGTTCCACCTCAGGTTCACTCTGTATACCTCTTGCTCCTGGCCCCAGGTTTTTGCTTTTGTTGTCACAGTCTGGAACTCAGCAGAGAACCAAGTCTTCACCCACCTGTGTGTAACCTGGAAATGGCGGGAATTTAATGCCTGTTTGGATGAGCCTTTGATGAATAAGGGATGTGAGCAGGAGATGAAAACTTGCTTTTCCTTCTCCCAAGGCAGACGAGCTGAGGCACATTCCCAGTGGCTTCTTGGATAGTTCTGTCCTTTCATGGTGGCATACTCAATAACAACACATTCTTGTATTAGCTCTCTTCCCCCTGCAACCCCTCCCCAGCAACTCTGCTCCTCCAGCTCTCATTTGTTCCCTGGGATCACATCTGCTAACAAAGTAAAAACACATATATCTCTGTTTCAGCCTGTTTTCTGGGGAACCCAGGCTTAAATAATGTTGACTCTAGAATTTGGATCTTTGACTATTCCTCCTGTCACCCATGCATCTATCCCTCACTAGAGAGACTAGCGCAGTGTCTGGCACATAACAGGTAATAAATAAATACTTAATGAATGCATGAATAAATTAACAAGATGCTTATATCTGTAAGAAATTACACAAATAATTGGATTTATCGATCTAGGTAGCAAAGTACAGTGGTTAGAGGGCAAGGCTTTGGAAGTGAACAGCACAGTTTGAATACCAGCCTTGCCACGTATTAGCTGTTATCCTGGGCAAGTTACTTGACCTCCATACGGCAGTTTTCTTGTCTGTCAAATGCATAGAATAGCATGTCAAACATAGGAGGGTTCAATGACACCTTTCATGTAAAGTATTTGACACATAGGCATAAATCAATCATTGAAATTATTATTCATAGTAATAGTAGAAGTACAGATATTACATGAGAAATAATACATCAGAGAGCTCTCAGATGGGATTTGAAAGACACATGTATGACTTTGGGCACATCACTGGATGTGCCTTTATTTTTTAACTCGCTTTCTGCAGGGACAATAATTGCTAATCCACCTACAATTTATGTGATAATTGTGAGAGATTTTACAAAGCATAAACAGTGCTAAAAATGAAAATGACTTATTTTTCTCTGTGATATTGGTGGTGGATGGCACCGACCAGAAAGCATGTCTGATGGCTGGAAAAAAGGCCTTTCCTTTCGGAAGATGGAAATTCATTTGTCATTTCCGAAAAGTGATCTCCCTAGCTGACCACAGTGTGATCACCCGCTGAGATGTAAATCCTGGAGACAGGCAAAGGGAAACCGGGTTCCTGGAGGCCCTGAAAGGTGAAACCTGCGCCATATTTCACATGTGGCTTAAGCCCATTATCGCTGATGAAAACAAGATTTTTAAAGGACATGCTTCTTTCACTCTTCAGCTTCATTCAATGAACTTTTGACCAAAAGCAGGAGTGTTGTGTGCAGCCAAAAAATTCCTGCTATTTCCCACGATGTCATTGGACTGAGATATAGGATAGATTTTTTTAATCTAATCTGCAGAGTAGAGGTGCTTCTCATTTGATAACATGTTATCATCTTATCATCTTAACATGCAAAGTACCGCCCTTACCTCATTTTATTACGTTGTGTTCTGTTGTTTTATATGGTATTGCATTGCATTGTATCTGTTGTAGTTCCCTCTTTCATCCCAGTCCCACTCCCATCTCTCTCCTTCACTCACTGAAAGCATCTGAATGCATTCTCCTTTACATGTCTGAAATATGCCCTTAAGTACTTTTCCTTCTAAAACATACAGTATGGTTTTGTGCATGTGCTTGATTTACATAAAAGTTATCGAGCTATACACCTTACTTTCCACTTGAATTTTTTTATTCAACATCATGTTTTTAAGACCTCTCCTTGTTGCTGAATGCATATATTAAAATATATGTGTTTATCTTTTGTGCATGTGTGTGTGTATTTATTTCCAACTAATGCATAGAGTTTCATGCTACACATTCTTTACAGCTTCTGCATCATTCCTATAGAGCTGGTGTATTAGTCAGGGTTCTCTAAAGGGACAGGACTAATAGGATAGATGTATATAAAAAGGGGAGTTTATTAAGGAGTATTGACTCACACGATCACAAGGTGAAGTCCCATAATAGGCCATCTGCAAGCTGAGGAGAAGGAAGCCAGTCTGAGTCCCAAAACCCCCAAAGTAGAGAAGCCGACAGTGCAGCTTCAGTCTGTGGCTGAAGGCCTGAGAGCCCCTGGCAAACCACTGGTTTAAGTTCAAGGGTCCAAAAGCTGAGGAACTTGGAGTCCGATGTTCAAGGGCAGGAAGCATCCAGCATGGGAGAAAGATGGAGGCCAGAAGACACAGCAAGTCTAGTTCTTCCATCTTCCTCTGCCTGCTTTTATTCTGGCCTCTTTGGCAGCTGATTAGATGGTGCCCACCCAGATTGAGGGTGGGTCTGCCTCTCCCAGTGCACTGAGTTAAATGTTAATCTCCTTTGGCAACACTCTCACTGACACACTCAGGAACAATACTTTGCATCCTTCAATCTAATGAAGTTGACACGTCATATTAGCCATCACAGGTGGATACCTACGTTGTTTCCAGCTCCTTTCCACCACTACCACCATACAGATCTGTGTAAGATTTTCCCAGGAAGTAGACTTTTGGATCCTGAGATATATCTTATTTAAATCAGAATAGATTTTATTCAAGTCATGTTGAAATAAGGATGTCAAAGCCACTTGGTAGGTAACTTTCTCGGAACCCTTCCTCTCTATGAGTGTACATTTACTTGCATTTGTATAAAGAGGGGTTTAGATGAGAAAATATCTAAGGATTCTACCACTATTAAGATTCCACGACTAATTTTCAAGCCAGCTGTGTTTATCAAACAAATGCAAGGAAAGTTGGATGAAATCTGCTAGTCCATCATCCAAATATTTGGAAGTAACCAGATGTTCAGCATCTTGTAGACACCACCTAGGAGGCCTTTGTCAGTGTTCTCAGGTATATTTGTGTTATTTTAGTTTCCTAAGAATTCTCCTTGCTCAGAGAGCTGGTATAGATTCAGATTTGCAAAGATCCTGCAATACCTTAAGAATTTGGGTTTCAACTTAACTTAGGCTTGGCATCTATGTCTGTCTGTCTATCTATCTATCTATCTATCTATCTATCTATCTATCTATCATCTATCTACATACCTATAATGTATCATCTACCTATATATCTATATCTATCTCTCTGTCTGTCTAGCTAACTGTCTTCTTTTATCTATCTATCTGTTTATTTTGGGAGGGATTCAATACTATAGGGCTAATGAGAACATTGACTCTGAAGTCAGACAACATGGTACCAACACATGGGGGGTCAAATAACTAGCTGTTTGACTTTGGGCAAGAAACCACTTGGCACCTCAGTTTCCTTATGTACATGTTAGAAAATGAAAGTAATAATTCTGACTTCATTAGCTCCTTGTGAAGAACACATGCAATCATATATAGTAAGAATATAGCTCAGGACCTGGCACAGAGTAAATCCTGTGGTCATTTACAAAAAAAAAAAAAAAAAGTCATAAATCTTTTGACACTCTTCTCATGGGAAAATAGAAAATAGAGTCTATGACCCTTCCGATTGAATCTAGGTGGGCTTTTGATTGCTTTCATCAATGAAGTATGGCAGAAGTGATACTATGTGACTTCCAGGGTTAGGTCGTAAAAGGCAATGCAACCTTCCAGGGTTAGGTCATAAAAGGCAATGCCACTTGTGCCTTACTTGCTGGGGCACCACTGAGCCACCAGGTGAGACATCTAACTACCCCTAGGCTGCCACAGTGGGTAGGCTACTGGGAGCTATGTCAGCTGACAATCCCTCCTGCATCCAGCCTTCCAGCCATCCCTGTCAAGGCACCAGACACTTGAAAGTAGGTTTTCTAGTCCCAGCTGTTTTAAAGTTTTCCCGCTTGACTCTAGACATAGTGGAGTAGAGCTCACCCAGTTCCTCTGTGCCTTGTCCAAATTTTTGACTCACAGAATACATGAGATGACCATTGTTTTATGCTACTACATTGTTTTTTTT
The DNA here is from genome assembly GCF_000001405.40 of Homo sapiens. Taxonomy (NCBI): domain Eukaryota; kingdom Metazoa; phylum Chordata; class Mammalia; order Primates; family Hominidae; genus Homo; species Homo sapiens. The sequence goes on along the minus strand of NC_000012.12, from coordinate 115,408,525 downwards.
TTTTTGACAGGGTCTCACTCTGTGTCACCCAGGCTGGAATGCAGTGGTGCGATCACAGCTCACTGTAGCCTTGACTTCCCAGGCTAAAGCGATAATCCCTACCCCAGCCTCCAGAGTAGCCGGTACCACACCTGACTATTTTTAAAAGAAATTTTTTAGAGATGGAGTCCACTTATTGCCCAGGCTGATCTCAAATGCCTGGGCTCAAGCAATCCTTCCACCTTCCCCTCAGAAACTGCTGGAGATTACAGGTGTGAACCACTGAGCCCAGACACTACTACATTTGGGAGTAGATTATTATGCAGTAATAAAAATAAGACCACACTATACTATTCATATCACTCCTGTCTTTTGGTACAACACAGATATTATGCTTTCTGGGAAGAGGTGTTCTACCATTGATAGTAACTAACATTTATTGAGGGCTTACTGTGTGCCTGGTACTGTGCCAACTGCTTTCCAGGGATGTGTTCATTTATCCCTCACCATAGCATTATGAAGTGGGTACTATTTTATTTATATTTTAGAGATGTGGAAACAGAAGCCTAAATAATTTTCCCAAGGGCAAGTAACAACAAGTTGGTAAGCCTGAATTTCAACTCTGGTCTCTGAGGCACATAATGAGTATTCACAAAATGATTGCTTTGGGCATTACAGTGGTAGGGATGGCTTTCATTTCTGGTGACTTGGTAGAACATTGACCATGAGACAATAGATCAGAGAAGTTTCCATCCTCTACTTCTCAAAAATACCACCCCCTTTCCTACTTCTCATATGAAACTGACCAGGTTTTGCCAGAGAAACGATGTGGCATCAGTTCTTCCCCAGGTGGGGTGAGGCTTCCTAGAGAAATCCAAGAGAAAAGGCCCTCTATGTTTCTGTCACCAGGAGGGAAAATTCTCTGCAGAGGCATAATGAACAGGTATACAATTTCCTAACATGGTGAGTCCCCTCAGAACTGAGAGAGTGCCCCCACATCTGAGGGTGCTGGATGATTGGGACTGAGCAGGTCTGGAAATGGGTAGAAGACCCTCATGCCTCTTCTCCTCCACCCCCACCTTACATCCATAACTTAAGTGAGCATGACCAGAAAGCCACTAATAACAACATCTCCACCAGCTCTATTTACCCAGCTGTGTATCTCAGGATCTGTCTCTGACATTTTTAATACTCTCTCATTTCTCTGTCCTCCAGGGATTCATTTGAAGAAGCCCACAGGGACGGGTGACACTGAGGAAACAAAACCCAGGCCCCCCGGCCTCCGACTGAGCCGTGCAGAGCATGCTGGGAGATCACCTCCACCTGAGGAGCACAAAAGACCCCAGGAGTGGAGGAAGCTGGCCTGAGGCCAACTGGATGTAGCAGACTTGCTGAGCCCAAGGAGGGAGGTCTGGTGATGGAGCCTCGAGTACATATCCTTCCAATCCTAAGGTAAACAGCGCTTGGGGCTTTGGCTACAGGGAGGTTGTGGCCCATTGAAGTGGGTGGTACAAGGCGGGTACAAGGCAGGCCTTCTGATTTTTTTTTTTTAAACTGTCTTATGAATTATACTGTACCTACAGAAAAAACACAACAGGAAACTTAAATGAATGGCTCAAAGAAATTGCAAACGTTTGCCCAGATCAAGACCTAAGATGTTATTAGCTCCTTAGAAGTCTCGCTCCTGCCCTCTCTAAATTGTTATCCTTCATCCATACCTTTCCCCAAAAGTGGCCTCTTTCTGGATTTTTAACAACAGTTTTGTCTGCTTTTTCACTTAATATAAATAAAATGCATTCTTTTGTGGTTGATTTATTTTCCCGAACACTGTGTATGTGAGCTTCCTTTCTGTTGTGTCTGAAGCTTTTGTTTGTTTATCATTGAATGTCATTTTGTTGTATGATGATATGATTATTGATTGATTCTTCTGTTGAGGGGTATTTGATTTATTTGCGGGTTAATGTGAATAGTATCATTATGAATATTCTTTTCCCTCTCTTGGTACACTCATTTCTGTTAGGTATGTACCTAGGAAGGGAATTGCTCAGTTAAAGCATGCATTTATATTTTTATGTATGTCAAAATGTTTTCAAAAGTGTTTGTACCAAATTATATTCTTACCATCAATGTGTAAGAGTTCAGGTTGTTCCACATACTTGGCAGCACTTGGTATTGTCTGTATTTTGAATTTATAGTAGTTCTGGTAATTGGGTAGTAGTATCTCATTGAGGCTGTAACTAGCATTACTATGATTATTATTGAGGCTGACCAACAGTTTATATGTTTGCCATACTTTTGGAGATCTTTTATGAAATGCCTGTTTGAATCTTCTGCCCATTTTTTTAAAATTGGGTTATCTCTCTTTTTCTTACTGATTTCTGAAGCTGTTTACATATTCTGAAAATGAGCCTTTACTAGGTGATAAGTGTTGCAAGTATCTTTTTCTTTTCTGTTACTTGACTTTTCACTGTTTTAATAGTGTGTCTTTGTGAACAGAAATTCGTATTTTATATACACATACACACACACACACACACACACACACACACACACACACACACATATATTTCCTTTAAATTTGATTTTTGGGGACTGTCTTTTGTTTTTGTTTAAGAAATCATTCCCTGCCTGAATAAAAATTAAAAAAAAAAACTCTCCTATAGTGTTTTCTAGAAGCTTTATTGTTTTTACTTCCATATTTAGATATACAATATATCATTTTGTTCTTTGATTTTTCTCGCATCATACAGCCTTCTTTTCTGTTCCTGGGATACCCCTAAATCCCATGTCAGAAAAGACGTGCAGCTTTATGACTTAGCAAAAGTGATAGCAACAACACAATCATAATAACCGAGATGCGTGCAAGACCTTGTGACACACATTTCCATCCATTAACTGATTTAATTCTTTCATATCAGCCCTTGGAAACTGTTGAAGTGAGCATCATAATGCCCATTTTAAAGATGGAAAGAGTGAGCCTTAGAGAAAAGTAACTTGCCCAAGTTCACATAGCTGATAAATAGCAGAACAAGGAGATTCAAATATAGATCTGCCTGGTTTCAAAATATATTCTCCTTTTATCGCCTGGTGTTGATTAAGATGACTTGAGGTTACTAAGTCCCTGTTACTCACAGTTTTGTGTAAGATTTTCCAAGAATCTCACAGGAATTTTGTGTGCAGCCAAAAAATTCCTGGTATTTCCCATGATGTCATTGGACTGAGATATAGAATAGGTTTCTTTTCATGTAATCTGCAGAGCAGAGGTGCACCAGAGAGTTGGGTCATCAGAGGGTTAACATTTTGACTTGCCTAGGGAAATAAGAGTTTCTTTACCTCTGGTCCTCCCTCATCCTCTGGGAAGCCTCGGATGCTGTTTTACAGCCTGGCTGATCTTACGGTAAATGATACAAGCAGCAGCTTTTAAAAATCCGAGTTGCTGCTTCGAGTATTAGAAATGCCTCTAGAGTTTGGTAGTTAAAGCCAAAGCAGATGGATAAACACTAGTAGCTGCCGAAGGTGGTGCATGATGTCAATGGAGAACAGGCAAGGCAGGTCTTTCGTAGGGGACAGCCGTTGTTTGACCTGGCAGCGCCCTCACTTCTTCAGGGACTGGTGATCCTTTGATAAATTGCTCCTGCCTCCTCTCTAAACATATGGTTTGAATAGAGGCTGTCCATGCTAGCTCCCCACCCTCTTGGGCTGGGTGATGGGTACAGCATTGGACACACCATCCAACAGAGCCAATGAGGTGCCTTCCCTGGGATTTTTCCAACCAAAGCAGGAAAGAAAGTCTGTTCCTATTTTGATACATCTCTGAGGAACACTTCCCAGGCAATAAATATCTATGAAATGAATGAATGAATCCCCATTGCCAAGTGAACTCTCAGAGGGTATCTCTGTTCATAGTGAGAATTTATCATGCTTTTGGATAAGTACGTGAATAAATTAGGAGAGCATGCGTGTGTTCATAAACGGGGATGTAAGAGAGTAAGTGAATAAATAAACAAGTGAATATATACTCTGCAATTCTGATTGTTTATATTTCTCATACTGATAGACATTTGCATTCCAAAGAGATCCACTTTGTTCCAGTTATCTTTGCTGTGTAACAAAGTGTCCAAAAACTTAATGGTATAAACAACCATTTCATTAGGTAACAGATTCTGTGACTCAGAAGTTTTGATAGAAGGTGCAGACAGGTGTTCTCTGCTCCAAGATGTCTAAGGTCTAATCTGGACATAATTCAATGGCTGGGATATGTAGGTGCTAAGCGAAGGGATTTCTAGGTGATCCCAGCTCCCAGGACCTGTTAAATCCTAAACCAGACCATGGCACTCCTCTGTTCAAAACGAACAGCTCACTCCAACCTCGTGACCTTTGCACTACAGCCCCCTCTGCTTGGAATTCTCTGCTACAGAAATCTGCAAGGCAGATTTACTTACAGGAACTGGGATCACTTAAAAATGCCATCGCTTAGCACTTACATATGGCCTCTCCATGTGGCCTGGGCTTCCTCTTAGTGTGGCAGCCTCAGGGTTAGTTGGAACTCTTACATGGTGTTTTGAGGTTCTAGCATAAGTGTCTTAGTGGACAGGGCAGAAGCGGTATTGCTTTTTATGAAGTTGCACAATATAACTTTTGCCATACTCTATTAGACTCTACTGGTCAAAACCTTAGAAGTTACACAATATAATTTCTGCCATACTCTATTAGACTCTACTGGTCGAAACAGTCACAGCCCACCCAGGTCTAAAGGATGGGAACACAAACCCCAACCGCTGGATGGGAGGGTGCAAGGTCATATTGTAGAAGAGCATATAGAATGGAAAATATTGTTGTGTTCGGAAAACAATCAGCCACATGATTTAAATCAAATCAATTGGTCTCTGGGGGAGTTTTTAGTTTTAGGAAGATATTTCTCAGGACTCCTGAAGTCAAAGCTTTAAGATGACCTCTTAGAGGATCTGTATATACCCTAGCACTGTCTAGAGCAAAGTATTCCACCAGGATTCACCAATGGAAATAAGACATAGTGGGTCGAAAATGGCCCCCAACTATGTCCACATCCTAATCCCCGAAACCTGTGACTGTGTTATCTTACATGACAAAAGAGCCTTTGTGTGTGTGATGAAGATAAGAACCTTGAGATAGGAAGAGGATAAGAGAGAAGCAGAAGTGTCAGAGTCAGAGAAGGAGATGTGATGCTGGAAAGAGGGCTGAGAGAGATGAGAAAAATGCTACACTGCTGGCTTTGAAAATCAAGAAAAAGTCCACAAGCCAAGGAAAGTGAGAGGACCCAAGAAACTGGAAATGGCAAAAAGTGGATTCTCCCCTAGAGCCTCCAGAGTGGCTGCAGTCATGCCAATGCCTTGATTTTTAGCCCGGTGTAACCCACTTTCAGATTTCTGACTTCCAGAACTTGTAAGATAATAAAATTTTGTGGTCGTATGCAAATAAGCCTGTGATTAGTTGTCACAGCAGCCACAGAAGACAGACACATACAAGAAAAACCCTTCAGCTTGCTGCCTGGGTTTGACTCTTAGACTTGATGCCCTCAGAACTTGGAAGACTGCAGGTTGATTGCTCACTGGTTGCTCACTTTTAGGCAGTCTGCCTTATGAAATAAGCTACAATGGATTCTAAAGCTTTACTGAAGTATGTCTAAGGAGAAAAGATTTACAAGGGACCTCAACGTTTTTTTCTCAATCCTTCATCACTGAAGTGCTTTAGAATCTTGCTCCTCAAAGTGTGGTCCCTAACCAGTAGCCGCCAGTGTCATCTCGAAGCCAGGTAAAATGAGGAATCTCAAGGTAGACCCCAGAGCCACTGAATCAGAATCTACATTTTAATAAGATCCCCCCAGAGATGTATGTGCACATTAAAGTTGGAGACACTATTTTAGAGATCTTATTGCGTCACCCCATCTTTCCAGAAGTCTCCAGAGTAAAGGTGAGTGTGGTTGTTTCCTTCTTTAAAATAAAAGAAGTGGCCTCGAATTTGAGCAGGCATGTCAAAACAGAACTAATGTCCCCAGCTACTGATGCAGGGAGTCCAATTCATGATACGTGTGGGGCTGATCGTTGCCACTTAATGCTGCTTCTAGGCTGAGCAGAGGACAGACACCTGTGTGCTTTCCTCAGCAAGTATGTACAAAGCAAAGTTTGCAATGTTTTAGGAATGAGGCCAGAGATTTCACCCAGCTGAGGAGCAACGCTCTCTCAAGGATAGATAAACCAAAGAGTTCTCCTCATGTTTCCTTCAAAATGGTCGTAATTTAATTTCTGTCCAATATTGCCTGGGTAGCATTGCAGACTCTCAGAAGCTGGTATTTTGTTTTGTTTGAAAGTCATGCTGTTGGGCTGTTTCAACTTAAATTCTCCCTAAGTAAAACTGTATAAATGCCACGTTTCTAAGTGTGCAAACCCCCAGAAACACACATATGGGGTGTACCAGAAATGTGGTTGGGGAAGAGACAGGCAGTAGACTGTGGCAAGAGAAAAAAAGTAGCCTCAAGACTTTTTAGGCCAAGATACTTTGGGTAGATCCTCGGTCGAATTCTGTGTTGAATCCAGGCCCAGTGATTCTCTTTTCCAGAAATGAAGTCAGACTTAGAACTACCTAAGAGGAGAAGGAAAATGTTGAGGAACTGAAAAGGAATTCTTGAGAATGAGAAAATGACAGCATCAAAAGAAAGGGGAAAATCACTCTTTTGCCTGGGGAGGTAAATTGCTTCCATTTTCCTTTTTTTTTTTTTTTAATTTTATTTCCTTTGGTGATGTTTCAGGGTAGCAGAAGATTTTGACATCTAAGGCTCAGAACTAAATATAGGGGCTTTCTTAAAGATGTGTGGAACTCCGATGGTTGGATTTTTCACATTGGGTTTTCTTTAATCACGCTAAGACTCTTTTAGGGGCTGAGTTTCTGCATGATCTATTATTGTTCAGAGTAAGGGAAGAAGGATGGTTTGATTTAGAAGTGGTTAAAAAATGAATTTTAAAAAACAGTATCATGTTAACAATCAATACAGAATTGTGTCTAACCAATTACACAAACAACTAACCAAAGCCAATTACCATAAAGCTTAGTATGTAAATATACAAACTCCTCAAGATGGCAGGATTACAAGTAAGTTGAAAAATGTAAGAGAATGGGGGACAGACTCTTAAGAGTCTCTGGCAGGCACTGTGCTGGGGTTTTGCACACATTGTCTTCCTTTATCCTCACTACATTCTTACCATGTGTGTTGTTGTATTCCAATTTTACTGATGAACTGAGCTGAAATTAACTGAAGCTTATTTCTTTGTGTTCACAAAGATGAAGTATGAAGTTGAGAATATAAGTTAGATCTGTGACTTGGGCTTTCTGGTTTCTATGGAGCCTCTCCTTGTTGACCCATTTTACAGATAAAGAAACTGAGGATCTGCAATGGAATCATCCAGCATTATCCAGCTTTTTTTTTTTTTTTGATGGAGTCTCGCTCTGTCGCCCAGGCTGAAGTGCAGTGGCACAATTTTGGCTCACTACGATCTCTGCCTCCTGTGTTCAAGCAATTCTCCTGCCTCAGCCCCCTGAGCAGCCCCCTACAGGAGCGTGCCACTATGCCTGGATAATTTTTTGTATTTTTAGTAGAGATGGGGTTTCACCGTGTTAGCCAGGATTGTCTCCATCTCCTGACCTCGTGATCTGCCCGCCTTGGCCTCCCAAAGTGCTGGGATTACAGGCATAAGCCACTGTGCCCAGCCTCATCCAGCTTTTAACAATGTTGGGCTTCAAACTGAGGAATCTCTGTTGTCAATATTAGACCTTGAGGTGGATTAAAATTGCCCATATGAAGGAAGTTCTTTATGGTGATGAAATAGTTCCACATCTTGACTGTGATGATGGTTACCTGTGTTTACATGTGATAAAATTTCATGGAACTCTGCATACGATACACACACACACAATTACATGTAAAAACTGGTGAAGTCTGAATATGGTCTGTTCCTGAGTTAAAAAGTACTGCAGTCAATTCCCTGTTTTTGGCAATACGCTATGATTATGTAAGATATTAACACTGAGGGAAGCTGGGTGCAGTAAAAAAACAGTCTCTCTATTTTTTTTTGCAACTTTTTGTGGTTGTATAGTAACAAACAAACAAACAAAATGACCACTCTGCAAATTCTTTAATGCTCCTCCAGTGGGGAGGTGGTGTCTCTGTTCCTTTCCATCAGATCTGGGAAGATTCTGTAACTGCTTGGCCAATAGAATACAGTTAGAGTGATGCCGTGTCAGGTTTCGGGCTCACACTTGTCTGTGGGATCCCTTCACCATTTTGCGTAAAATCTGACTCTCTGAGACTGCCACGCAGAGAGGCCATGTGCAGCTTTGCAGTCAACAATCCCAGCTGAACCTGGCCCTCCATCCATCCCTGCTAAGTCACCAGTCACATATAGGGGAAGCTGACTTGGACCCTCCAGACCAGCCCACTCTCCAGGTAATTAACACTGATGAGTTCCATTGATACCACTCAGTGCCCACCCAGCTGAGTCCTGCTCCAATTCTTGACTCACAAAAGCATGAGGCCTAATAAGATGATTATTGCTTTAAGCCTCAATGTTTTGGGCAGTTTTCTGTAAGACAATTGGTAACAAAATAGACTTTTTGTTATCTGATAGAGAAAAAGAAGGCTGATGAAAGGTGGTTAGATATGTAGAATTAGATGATGTGACATAGGCATATGCCTTCCTTTCATTGGGCTGAATACTCTAGGTTTCACCTTGAACACCACTTCCTCCAGGAAGCCTTCCCTGATACTGTAGACTGGATTTTGAGATGCCTCTCTCATGCCTCTCCTTTCCTACCTTGGTTAGCAGGCGTCAGAAATATCCTGATGTTATACTTTATTTCTCCCTTTCCTACTAGATAGCAGACTCCATGCAGGCAAGGACTACTGTTGGCCTGTTGTTGTTTTTAAGTGTTGTGGATACATAATAGTTGTATATATTTATGGGGTACATGTGATATTTTGACACACGCATACAATGTGTAATGATCAAATCAGGGTGACTGAGATATCTGTCACCTCAAGCATTTATCATTTTTTGTATTCGGGATATTCCAATTTCACTCTTCGAGGTATTTCAAAATATTCAATAAATTATTGTTAACTATAGTTACCCTATTGTTTACCAAACTGCAGATCTTATTCCTTCTATCTAGCTGGATTTTTGTACCCATTAATCAGCCCTCTTTTTCTCCCCCTCCCCACTACCCTTCCCGGCCTTTGACAAATATCATTTTACTCTCTATCTCCATGAGATCAATTTTTTTTTTTTTTAGCTCCCACATATAAGTAAGAACATATGATATTTGTCTTTCTGTGTCTGGCTTATTTCACTCAGCGTAATGTCCTCCAGTTCCATCCATGTTGTTGCAAATGATAGGATTTCATGCTTTTTATGGTTGAATAATAGTTCATTGTGTATATGCGCCACATTTTCCCGATCCATTCATCTGTTGTTGGATGCTTAGGTGGATTCCATATCTTGGCTATTGTGAATAATGCTGCAGTAAACATGGGAGTGCAGATATCTGCAAGGACTACTTTTGCCTAACATCATTACTCCACTCTGTCTGGTATATAACCTTCGATATGTGATCGCTGAATGAATAAACAAAGAGATGAATGCTCTCCAAAATCTGCCTTAGCTCCAGCCTTCTTCATTGTTTCTGGAGCTTTAGGGCAGGTAAGAAGGTTCCAGGTGTGTCTCCAGTACTTCTGAGACATCAGCCTTATCTCTGGGACTCCCAAGATCCTAAGTCCACAAATCCACCTGGTAGGCAACAGTTCAGAGGCAGCAGGAGCTGGGAGGGCAGGAAGGCAAGCGGTGTACTTGCCAATCCCCTACCAAGCTGGTATCTCCTGGTTTTCTTCTTTCCTGCTCAGCTGCTTCAGCCAGAGGAAGGCCGTTGCCACAGGCGTCTGTCCCCTAGGTCATCACCAGGGAGCTCCCTAGTATCACTAGGTGTTTGTCCCTGCAGTGTCCTGTGTCCCTGTTTAGATCCCGCCAGGGGGTGATCTGGCTCCTTCTGGACTGCCCTTGAAAATTCCAGTCACACTGACACAACAAATATTTACTGAGCATCACTCTCTAGCAAGGCTCTGGGCTGGGCAAACCCTCAACCTCCAGGAGCTTAATATCTCAGTGGCATCTCCATGTGGTAGAAGATGAGAGATAAGAAAAACAAAAACATAAACAAAAAATCTTAACCACTGGCCTGTTCCTAAAGAGGTCTAATGGTAAGCTGGAGCCAGCACTCATGGGCTTGCAAGAATCAGCTGAAAAACTTTCAAGAATTTCGTGACTTAGTTGTGAAGCCATCGGTAGGTTAAGATTGGTCATGGTGAGAATATCTGCATGGAGAAAATCAGCAAAGACTAGAATCAAGCTCCCTCACACCATCAAGTTTACCAGCACACCACTGCAAAATTCAAGTCCCCTCTCAACTTGTTTTTCTATCTGAAAAATGGAGATAAAAGTCCTTATCTCCAAAGATTTCACAAGTATTAACATAGCATAGTGCTTGGCATGTGGCAGGTGCTCAGGAATGACCCTGGCTTCTCTCTTCTTCCTGATCTAACATTGAAGGTTAACAATGGGTTCAATGTTCCTTTCAATGTATGGATTGATGTATCAACATCACTGAATAGGAAAGAGCATACATTTTAAGACGGAGCATGGGACTGTTTCCCGGGGTGATTAATTCTACTTTGGAATGTTCCTAAAGTTTTCCAGGATCTTATTCTTCCACCCTAGTATTAATAATGGAGTAGGGAGGACAAAGTCAGGCAGAGATACTGAGGGGGCCAATATGTGAGTGTCTGGGTAGTTTTTAAGTTGCACAGTTTAGGACAAATGTTTGAACAGATCATGACACTCAGGATACTTCTGTTTGGTCATTCATTCAAAAGCACATTCATACACGCATTGAGCTTCAGAATAGGGAAGTTACTCTCTGAGCTAGACTTTGGATATGTAGCTCTAAACAGATGTGTTACCTGAAGACAACCATGAAGCAAGTCATTAAAAGTACACAGGTATAATTGAAGGAAAATACAGGCCACTGCATGGGCATATAATAGGTGGGAATAATTTTAGTTGGGAAGGCTCCTCTAAGGCAGTGACATGTCAGAAAAGATTCAAGGGAAAAAATTCTCTTGTCAGGCTAATGGGACATGTGGCAGACAGACTTTAGGATGGTCTCTGTGATCCCTGCCTCCTGATACCTCATGTTATCCTGTCTCCTTGAATGTGGGTGGGACCTGTGACTTACTCTAACTAACAGAATAAGGCCAAGGTGACATGGTGTCACTTCTGTGATGCCATTTCATAAGACTGCAGCTTTTGTCTTGCAAGTAGACTGTCTCTGTTGCCATCTTGGTTTGCATGCTTAGATGAAACAACTATGTTGGAGAAGCTTACATGGCAGGGAATGGAGAGTAGCCTCCAGCCAACAGCCAGAAAGGAATGAGGGCTCTCAGTCCAACAGTGCATGAGGAACTGAATCCTGTCAAGAGCCCATTTGTTTAGAAGTGGATCCTTCCACAGCTGAGCTTTCAGATGAGACTCCAGCCCTAGGTGACAACCTGATTGCAGCCTTTTGAGAAACCCAAAGCAGAAGACCCAGCTAAGTCAGGCCCAGACTCCTGAGCCATAAAAACTTTGAGATAATAAATGTATTTTGCTTTTAGTTTTTGTTTAAGCTAAGTTTGTGGGTGATTTGTTATGCAGCATAGCTGACTGATACAAAGAGTGAGCAAGAATGTGTTCCAGGCACAGAGAACCATATGCATGTAGGAGGCAAAGAAAATAGAGTCTGAACATGGAGGAAGACCAGTGTGATGGAATGAATACAGGGTGATGAGAACTGAGTCAGGAAGGTAAGACCAGGTTATGTCCTGCAGTCCCATATGGGCCATGGAAGAGATTCTGGCTCTTATCTTGGGGACTCTGGGGAGTCAATAATAGCAAAAATGTAGACTCAACCCAAATGCCCATCAGTGATAGACTGGACAAAGAAAATGTGGTACACACCATGGAAAACTATGCAGCCATAAAAAGGAATGGGATAAAAGCTGGAAGCCATTATCCTCAGCAATCTAACACAGGAACAGAAAACCAAACACCACATTTTCTCACTTATAAGTGAGAGCTGAACAGTGAGAACACATGGACACAGGAAGGGGAACAACACACACTGGGACCTGTGAGGGTGGGGGAAGGGGAGGAAGAGCATCAGGATAAATAACTAATGCATGCAGGGCTTAATACCTAGGTGATGGGTTGATAGGTCCAGCAAACCACCGTGGCGCATATTTACCTATGTAACAAACCTGCACATCCTGCACCTATATCCTGGAACTTAAAATAAAATAAAATTTAAAAAAAAATGGAAGTGCAGAGCTTAATCAAATTTGCTTTCTAATATGCCTATCTGGCTGCAGTGTGAAGGATGGATGGGAAGGGCAAGGCAAATGTAGGGAGACCATATGGGTAAGATGCCATGGTAGCTCAGACTGGGAAGTGAGAGTAGATTCATGGAAAATTGGACACTTTCAAGGAATATTTTTGAGGTCGAGTGGGTAGGATTCAATGACAGATTAGATATATACAGAGGCAAACAGGACCATCTATTGAAATGAAGGAAGAAGTTGGTGGTTTGAGTCTCTTAAGGGAATTAGAACTACTGGATCAGTCTGGGGAGCTTGAAGGCTCATGTGAATGTTGGCCTTTTGATCTCATCTTCTCTATGGGGTTGTTTTCACCTCCCTTGGGCAGGACATTTCAGGATTTGCCTAGCTACTGAGCCCAATTAACATACTGTGTAAAGATTTCATTAGCACGTGGAGAATGCCTGGGTGCAAAGTAAATCACCATGTCATTTTGCTGATGCTAATTATTTCATCTACAAACAATCAAGAGTGTGACTATTGCTTGATCAGAGAAAAGTTGTTCATCTCCCTGGGGGAGCCAAGTCAGAGCCAAAATGACATGAATTTATTTGGAATATATGAAGTTCCCTACCATCACATTGTCGATTTAACAGGGATAGATTATTTGCAAGATGTGTTTGTGTGTGTGTGTGTGTGTGTGTGTGTGTGTGTGTGTGGTGTGTGTGTGTGATCTATACAGGAAAGTGAGCTTGATCCTTGCCCTGAAGGAGGTAAGATTCTGTTTAGAAAGGAGGGACATGAATGCATTTTTCCTTCATTTATGCATTCACACAATTTTTTTCTCTTCTTACGCATAGCTCATTTGTAAAGACTTTGATAATTGCCCTAGCGAGTTGCTAAACTTTTTGTACCTTGGTTTTCTCATGTGTGAAGGCTGACAGTCTGCACTTAAAATCTAGCTTTCTGAGTTCAGGTCTTGCTGGAGCAAAGTCAGGTTTTCCTACTAAAATATAAGCTCCATGGAAGCAGAAATATATTCATTTTATTCACTGCTGTGTCCCCAGTGCCACAGGAGGCTGCCTGACTCAAGAAGTATTTGCTGAGTAAATAAATGACATAATATGTGTATAGCATATGACGTCTAGAAAGCTCAGAAAATGGCCCCGGTTTTCATCTTTCTCTTCTTCCTTGCTCACTCTTCTTTCCCTGCTCTGTTCCTCTACCTCTGTCTTCTCACCCTCCTCCTCCATTATCTTCCTCTTGGTTTTGGGAGAAAGAGGAAAAGCACCCTCTCTCCCTGCCGGGTGATTTATTGTTGGCTTCCCCAGCATATGTAAACCACATTTATTTCTTTTCATATTATGAAATCAGAGGATTATAGTGCTATGAGACCTCAGTTCAGTTCTTCCTTTGAAAGGATATCTATATTTAGGGAGGTCGTTGGTGAGTATCACAGCTGTTCGTTGGTTTGGATACTATTTGCCTCAGCTCTGGAAAAACAAAAAATTACCCTGAGAACTGAGAGGGTGAGCAGGCTAGACTTTAAATCACTGCTGCTCAAAAGGGAATACTCATAGTTCCTTACTGATTCACCCATCCATCCATCCATCCATCCATCCATCCATCCATCCATTCATCCATTACTCACTCACTCACTCACTCACTCACTCACTCACTGGTTTATTTATTCTTCTGCCCAATAGGTATGTTCATCAGCAATGTGCTCAATCTTGTGCTAGGAATGGGGAGTATCATGGTGACCAAAAAAGATAAAGTTTCTTCCCCTACTTCTTGATAGCCTGTAAATTACCTACACTGTGTAGTGCAGGTAATATACAGTTTTACTCAATAGCAAGCAACTGACATGTTAATTCTATTGTAAAGTAGATGGGCCAGATTTTTCCACGTTGTTGCAAACAGCAGTATTTTCTTCTTTATTAAGGCCAAATAATATTAATATATATTTGAATATATATAAAATATTTTGTAAAAATAAAACATTTTCTTCATCCATTCATTCATAGATGGACATTGAGGTTGCTTCCATGACTTGGCTATTGTAAATAATGCTTCAATGAACATGGAAGTGTAGATATCTCTTTGAGATTCTGATTTAAATTTTTTTAGACATAGACTCAGAAGACAACTGAAAAATTACATGGTAGTTCTACTTTTTGTTTCTTAAAGAACCTCCATTCTGTTTTCTATAGTGGCTGTACCAATTTACATTCCCAACAACAGTACACCTGGGCTTTCTTTTCTCCACATCCGTGCCAACACTTGTACTTTTTTTCCGTTTTGGTTAATAGCCAAAACAGATGTAACAGGTGTAAGGTGATAGCTCATTGTGGTTTTGATGTTTATTTCCCTGATGATTAGAGATGTTGAGCATCTTTTCATGTATCTCTGGGTCATTTGTGTATCTTCTTTAGTAAAATGTATATGCAATTCCATTGCCACTTAAAAATTATATATATCATTCCACTGTCTCTATGGATGTGTGTATATATATTATATATGAGTGTGTGTGGAGAGAGAGTTTGTAAGCATTCCTTAGGTATTGAGCTATTGGCCTTTCATCAAACATGTTTTCTAAATATTTTCTCCCATTCCAGAGGTAATTTGGTTGATTGCTTTCTTTTAATTTTGTTGATTGCTTCCTTTGCTGTGTAGAAGCTTTCTCATTTGATACAGCACCACTTGTATTTGAGCTTTTGTTGCCTTTTAGTGTCATATTAAAGCAATAATTGCCAAGACCAATATCAAGACACTGTTCCTCTATCTTTTCCTCTAGAGTTTCAGGTCTTACGACTACATTTTTAATCATTTCAAGACTATTTTTGTGAATGTTGTATGAACGTGGTCCAGTTTTATTCTTTTGCACGTAGATATTCCGTTTTCCCAGCACTATTTCTTGAAGAAACTGTTCTTTCCCCATTGTGTATTTTTGACACCCTGGTCAAAGATCAGTTGACCATACATGATAGGTTTATTTCTGGGCTTTTGATTCTATTCCATTTGGTTATATATCTATTTTTATGCCAATATCATATTGTTTAGATTAATGTAGTTTTGTAACATATTTTGAAATCAGGAACTGTGATGTCTCCAGCTTTATTTTTCTTGCTCGAAATTGCTTTGGTTATTTGGGATCTTTTGTGGTTCCCCGTAAATTTTAGGATTGTTTTTCTATTTTGATTAAAAAAATAGAAAGAAAATGCCATTGGAATTTTTATAGAGATGGCATTGAATCTGAAGATAACTTTGGTTAGTGTGGGTACTTTAACAATAACAAATCTTTCAATCTGTAAATTTGGAATATTTTTCCATTTTTTTGTGTTGGCTTTAATTCATCTCATCTGTGTTTTATAGTTCTCACTGTATGAGTCTTTTACCATCTTGGTTAACTTTATTCCTAAGTATTATTTTTATACTATTGTAAATGGAATTGTTTTCTTAATTTCTTTTTGAATAGTTTATTGTTAGTGTATGGAAGCACTATTGGTTTTTTACATTGATTTTGTATCCTGGAACTTTACCAAATTTGTTGTTTTCTGTTTGTTTTGTGGGTCTTTTGCTCCTCCCTTCCTCTCTTGCTATATTCTTTCATGATTTTGTTTTTGTAGCTACATATTTTGATTCTTTTCTCTTTATCTTTTTTGTATCTATAATAGTTTTTTTTTTCATTTTGGTTGCTATGAGGCTTGCAAAAAACATCTTATAATTGTAACAGTCTATTTTAAGCTGATAACTACTTAACCTTAATTGCATATAAAAACTCTACACTTTGTCCCCCTGCTACAACTTTGTATAATTGGTGTCATAATTTACTTATTTTTCTATTGTGTATCCATTAACAATTTTTGGTAGCTATAGTTACTCTTAATATTTTGTCCTTTAAATTTTATATGAGGATATAAAATTTAAAAACTGATTTGGGCACCATCATTACAGTATTATATTATCCTACATTTTCTATAGGTTTGCCTTTACCAGTGAAATTTATACTTTCATATGCTTTTATCTTACTGTTAATCTTCCCTTTGTTTCAACTAAAGAAACTTCTTTTAGTACTTTTTTATGGCAGGTCTAGAAGCGATAAACCTCAGTTTTTGTTTGTCAGGTAAAGTCTTTATCAATCCTTCTCTTTTAAACAACAGTTTATCTTGGTATGGCATTCTTTTTTGCAGTTTTTTAAAAAATACTTTGAATATATCATTCCACTGTCTCTTGGTCTGCAAGGTTTCTGCTAAGGGATCCACTGATAGTCTCATGCAGATTTCCTTGTACATGATGAGCCTCTTGCTGTTTTCAAAACTCTCTCTGTCTTTGATTTTTTATAATTTAATTTTAATGTGTCTTGTGTAGATCTCTTTAGGATTAGCCTATATGGAATTCTTTAGGCTTCATGAATCTGGATGCCTATTTCTCTCACCAGATGTAGGAAGTTTTTTATCGTAATCTAGTTAAATAAACTTTCCTTCTCTTTCTCTTCTTCTTTTGGGACTCTAATAATCCATATTCTTTTTTGGTTTGATAGTGTCCCCAAAGTCCCATAGCTATTCTTCACTCTTTTCACTCTTTTGCTTTTTGTTCCTTTGGATAATTTCAAATGACTTCTCTTAGAGTTCACTGATTAAACTCAAATACTTGATTGCATTTACAGTTGAAGTTCTGTATTTATTTTTTTCAGTTCAGTCAGTGTATTATTTAGCTCCAGAATTTCTGTTTGGTTCCT
This sequence comes from Homo sapiens, assembly GCF_000001405.40. Taxonomy (NCBI): domain Eukaryota; kingdom Metazoa; phylum Chordata; class Mammalia; order Primates; family Hominidae; genus Homo; species Homo sapiens. Next base: position 115,391,372 of record NC_000012.12, on the reverse strand, counting down.
TTTAATTATTTCTTTATCTTTTTTGAACTTCTCATTTTGCTTATGTATTGCTTTTCTGATTTTATTTAGTTGTCTATCTGTGTTCTCTTGCAGTTCACTAAGCTCATTTAGGACAACAATTTGGAATTTTTCATCAGGCACCTGACATTCTCATTTCTTTAGATATTCATTTCTTTAGCATTTGTTACTAGAGACTTATTTTATTTCCATGGTAGTGTTGTAGTTCCCTAATTCTTTGTAATCCTTGTAGCCTTGCGTTTGTTATTGTGCATTTGAAGAAGTAGTCACCTCTTTCAGTCTTTACAGTCTGGCATGGAAGGCCCTTTATTAGTCAGCCTGGCCAAAGATTCTGAGTGAGCTATTTGGTGGAGACCACAGAGGGGCCCACTTCCAGGATCCACAGGTGGGTGGGCAGATGGACTTGGTGCTTGGGTCTATGTGTGGGTCTGCTGCTGGCCTCTGCAGGTAAACTTGCCGCCAACAGGGTTTTTGGGTGAACAAGTCTGCTGAGGGCCACAGGCAGGAAAGTGTGCCTGGTACTTGGACCCACAGGTGGGAGGGCTTGGTGCCGGGGTCTGCAGGTTGGTGGGCTTATTGCTGGCATCTGCAGGTGGTCCTCTCCCTGGTGGGTAGGGACAGGTGGTCCTGCTGCCAGTGGCCAAGGACAGGTCTTCCACTGGGACTCCAAGCCAGCTGTTGAGATCTGTGTGCTGATTGTTGAGAGGCCCTGCTTCTTTTTGTTTTTAGCTACTCCCAAGCAATCTAACTGTGTTGGCTCCCTCGGTGTTCTGGATGAGGCATAACGGAAGTAGGCATGTCAATTAGCACTCCTGAAGAGCATTTTCCCACCTCTCCTGAAGCAGTGAACTGAGGCAGTCATAATTGTGCCAGGTGATCTGTGATCCCTGGCCTTATCTGATTGGGCCAGTGATAGTTTATAGGTACAACTCAAGTCAATCTTTTTTTTTTTCTTTTCAGGAATTAAATTAAGAGACATGGGACTAAGGACAAAGAGTCTGTAAGGTCAGGCATGGTTGGACCCAATGTCTCCTGATGGCTGATAGCATGCAGAAAAAGGAGCAAGTGTGTAAAGTAACCTGGTGGTCAAGGGAAGAGAAATCAAAGTGTGATATAGCAGAGATGAGCAAACACATGACCCATAAGAGAAGGACTGACGGTCCCATAGAATTGCATGCTGCCTCTTATTTGTTGCGATTCCTCAATTTTATGGTAAAACCTCATTGCTTAAGGAAGCTTAAGCTAACTTAGTCTGAGTGTCAGTTTCTTAAAATCTAATTAAAGGTTGCTAAGTTAAGAAAACAGATAGAAAAGAATTCTAAGACATAATTCTTGCCCTCAATGAGTTTACTGTCTAATAAGAATAATATCAAAAATTACAACAGCAATAGGTATCATGTACTGAAATCATGCTATATCTCAGATTCCTTGCATTATCATATTTGAGCCTCATAATCCTCTGAAGTACATAGAACTATTTCTTTTCATTATACTGACAAGAAAGTGGGGCTTAGAGAGAATCAGTTGCTTGCCTGCAGTCACACAGCCAGTACACATTGAAATCTAGTATGGAAATCGGTAGTCTGCCTCAGAGTCCTCTCTGTTAACAACAGTATGCTTGGCTGACTAGTTAGAGAAATAAGAAAAGCAGAATCACAGAGAATGAAGTGAGTGGCAAATGAATAAGAGTGACCATATTATGCAGATTCAGAGATGAGAAATGTTTACTGTGAGCTGATGATAAGCAGAGAAAGGCAGTTAAGTTTTGGGGACCTGAAAGGATTGCATCAATAAATTAAAGTAATTTCACAATAATGGATTTAGATTCAGAATGCTTAGTGATGGATAGAACTGAAGTTGATAGTTTTAAGGGAAACGTTTTTGTCATAGGTATCAAGAACCTTAAAAATGCCCATAATGTTTAGCAAATTAAATCTACTTTGGGGAATACGTTACGAGGAAATAATATTTTGTTGATGCAGAAGATCCCCTACTGAAACCCAACTTATAACACCAAAGAGTTAGAGACAACCTAAATGTTCAACATGGGGGACTGGTTAAAGTGTGTAACATCCACTTAATGATGAGCTATTGCCTCTCGTTTTCAATCCCATCCTTCTATGCTTGGCTTTGTGATCCTGGGGATAAGACTGTGCACCCACTTCTCTGTGAAAAGTGTGCCAGTAGGTGGCTGTGAAAAACAATGAGAAGCCTGGAGGAAAAGAAGAGTCTTGCTTCTTCCTGATCAGAAGATTAATTTCAGTAGCAGCTTCCAAATCTACTTTGCCGTTTTCCACTCTATCAGAACTAATCTCACTGGGCTTCCTCAAGGATTTCAGTAAACCATCCAGATAGTGCCTTATTTTCAGAAGTCTGGGTCTCTGCTGTGCTGTGCCTATCTTTAGCCTTACAAATCAAGTTTAATGGTACCAACATCTTTCCTTTGTTCTCTGGTCATAGGTGTGGACGTTGCTTCTCAAGTGGCTATCTTGGTGATAGCTCATTATGCCTTATATGTCTTTTCGCTTTACTGTGATTGATCAATAAGCCATGCAGGATGATTCACATTGCAGAGAAAATTTTATCCTTCTCCTGCTACTGGTGAGTTAGCAAAGTTTGGGGTGACAGTCAATGAGCTAGCCACCTCCAGGAGATAGTAAAATTAATTTTGACATGATACATAAGATTCTCCTCTACTACCTGCTTAACAATTCCTTATGTTACATTCTCTCTTGGTATTAGTTTGTTCTCGCATTGCTGTAAAGAACTACCTGAGATTGGGTAATTTATAAAGAAAAGAGGTTTAATTGGCTCATGGTTCTGCAGGATGTACAGGTAACACGGCTGGGGAGGCCTCAGGAAACTTACAGTCATAGCAGAAGGTGAAGTGGAAGCAAGCATCTCTTACATGGCTGGAGTAGGAGAAAGAGAGTAAAGAGGGAGGTGCTACACACTTGGAAACAACCAGATCTCATGAGAACTCACTTGCTATCACGAGAACAGCAAGGGGGAAATCCACTCCCACGATCCAATCGCCTCCCACGAAGCCCCACCCCCACCATTGGAGATTACAATTCAACATGAGATTAGGGCGGGAAGAGAAATCCAAACCACATCACTCTCTTAAAATAACTGGTTTGCTATCTGTCTGTAGCCTGGACCCTGACTGATAGAGACAGTTATGCAAAAATATATGTAACATGTGGCAACATTTACTTTCTAATATTAAATGGGTAAAAACAGGAAGTAAAACTGTAAGGACAATATGACTGGAAGCTTGTTTGTAATGTGTAGGAAAAAAGAATAAAAACAAATGTAAAAAAAGTGACCAGTGGCAGCCTCCAATAATCAGTAAACACATCCACAGGATAGAAAGTCCCCAAGATGCTACTTGGCTAAATCCTTCTCCTGCTGTATCTCATGAGAAGCCAGCATGTCTGGATTGAGACACTTCTGAATTTTTTTCTACTAGGTCTTTTCTTTTCCTTGCCTGCCCCCTTTGGAGACATGGTAGGGTCCTGGGTATCATCTACAACACAAAGAAACTTGGGGAGGCTCCCTTTGATGTGGGCATGGTCAGGGACGGAATCGCTTTAGGAAGACAGCCTGATGGATCTTGGGCCCCATTTCTATGGCAACAAAGCTGCAAGGCCTGAACGTCTGATTTTGTTTTGGGATGTGGCGGCTGCTAATTATAGGCAGCTCCATGTCCCTTTGCTCTTCCCTAGAATGGTCTCTATTTGTTGTCAAGGTTTATTTACTTTCTTTTTTGGACTTCAGTCCTCCTACCCTTCTTGCACTTTACCCTTAAATATGTGAGTGAATATACGTGTGTGTGTGTGTGTGTGTGTATGTCTGCATTCATTCATGTGTGTGCTGTATATATGTGTGTGAATATATATAGATGTGTGCACTCTTTATCTATATTTATATATATATTTATATATAGATAGAGAGAGAGAGAGAGAGAGAGAGAAATCTTTGTTGTATTTAGTGCTGTGTGCTTTACTAGTTGTTATGGAAACCAAAAGCCAGATTTGAGCAGAAGGGCCCAAGGTGTCCCTTAGTCCAGCTGTAAAGCACAGGAAACAATTTTGGGCCCCAGGGATGATGAGGAGAGATGAAAGGAAGAGCATAAAGGAGTGGAAGGGGGTGAGGATGTGCGAAGAAGATGAGTTAGACGGGGCCCACTAAGGCTCATTCATCAGAAGACGTACATGTACGTGAGTTGGCCAGGGGCCTCCCTTAGCAACTGGCACATCTTCAATGAAGATTCTCTGTGCTGCACTGTCTGCTTTCTTCTTTCCTAGAGGTTGATCTGCAAACTTCTCTGCTTGGAAGGCTGACTCCGCCTTTGGGGCCCTGGTGAGTCCTTAGGAGGAAAAACGTGGCAGGCCTTCCACAGGCTCCCTCCTGGGACTGATGCACACACAGCGGTGAGGGAGGCAGGAGCCTTCCTTCTTAGTCTCAGTCTAAGTCACTTCTGTCCAATATGGTAGCCACTAGCCACATATGGCTATTTAAATAAACTAAAACAAAATAAAATAAAAAATACTGTCTTTTCTCTGTACTTTCTGCTCAGTGTTTCTGTAAACCTAAAACTGCTCTAAAAAGTGGTCTATGAATTTTTAAAAAATTTAATTCCTCAGTTGTCCTACATACATTTCAAGTGCTCCTAGCCACATAGCGACTGGTAGCTATTGTATTGGATGAATAAAGCAGATGTAGACCATTTCCATCATTCTGGAAAGTTCTATGGAACAACTTTGATCTCAGTAATAGTGTACCCTTCTGGACTAATCCTTACATGTTCCAGAGCAAAGAGAAACTATTCATTCATTCAGCAAATATTTACTCCTTGCCAGAATTGTTCTGGGTGCCTAGGATTTCGCTGGGACAGACATACTTCTGCCCTTGTGAAGTTTATGTGCTGGTACATCATAGGTGTTACATAGATACAAATGGAACATGACTATGGGGAAAAAGAAAGCAGGTGAAGGAAAATAGAGAAGGCTGGGTGCTGGGGTAGTGGAGAGGGTTCTATTTGATAAAGGGTATTCAGAGAAGGCTCACTGAGGAGGTGACAGATGGCAGAGCGGTGGCCTGAAGGAAGGGAATGAGGGAGTATGCCTTGCAGATTTCTGTAGCAGAGAATTCCAAGCAGACGGGGCTGTAGTGCAAATGTCATGAGGTTGGAGCATGCTGCTCATTTTGAATAGAGTAGTGACATGGTCTGGTTTAGGATGTAACAGGATCCCTCTGGCTGTGAAGTGGAGAGTACGGGATGCCACAGAGTGACCAGTAAGAAGGTTGGTGCCACATCCCGAGTGAGAGGTGATGGTGGCTTGGACCAGGGAGGTAGCCTTGGGAGAGGTGAGACGTGGTCAGATTTCGGGCGATACCCTGAAAGTAGAGCAGGCAGGACTTGCTGCTGGATTCACGTGGCATGAGAGAAAGAGGAGTTGAGGATGATGAGAAGGATAGAGTTTGCAATTATGGAAATGGGGTAGATGGCAGAAGGAGTGGTTATGCAGGGACGATAATCAGTATAGTTGTGGAAATAGCAAGTTTGAGATGCCTACTAAATATCTGAGTGTTGATCTCTTTATATGAGTGTATTCATTCAACACGTATTTGCTGGGCTCCAATACATATCCAGGACTCAGTCATTTGCATATAAGAGATGAGCATAACTCCTTATTTTCAACTTTCTCTAATTGATCCATTAAAAAATAAACATCTTTTTTTTCCTTTGTTCTTGCACCAGCTTGTACTTTAAACTCTATATTTAGCAGAGCACTGGGATGACTGACTTGGTCCCTTGATTCTACTTTTTTTTTTTTTTTTTTTGCAGTTCACCTAGTTCACAGCCAGACACTTTGCTGGGTTGCAGAGACACTAAGAACATAAAATGCCAGCCCGGCCCTTGATAAGCTGACAGCCAGTGGGAGTTGCTAAGGCACAGGACAAAGCACATGGGCTTTGGGCCCATCAAACCTGATTCATGAAACTGGCTCTACCGCTCACGAGCTCCTTAGCCTGGGGCCACACACTTAACCTCTCTGAACTTGTTTGCTCATCTGTATAATGGAGCACCTGACACCCAACTCACAGGACTGTCAGCAGGATCAGAGAAAATGCGTATACATTCACCTGCACAGTACCTGATATATGTAAGTGCTTATTTAATACATGGTGGTTAGCATTAACTTTACTGTTACCAAATGAAACAGACACATAACAGGAAAAATTATCATATATATTGTGTTAGGCACTTTTAAAAACAGATCTGAATAAAGTGTTAGGAGACAGGATAGCAGAGGGTAGGAATATGGGCTTTGGAGATAGATGTTGATTCCAAACCTAGCACCTCCATTCATGCAGTGAGTTGACACTGGGCAAGTGCCTTGGCATTTTGATTTGTAAAATGGGCACAATTACCTATTAGTACCAACTCACAGGTATATTGCTCATTTTTCTTTTTTTAAAGAGATAGGATCTGACTCTGTCGCCCAGGCTGGAGTGCAGTGATGGGATCATAGCTCACTACAGTCTTGACTTTCTGTACTCAAGCGATCTTCCTGCGTAGCTGGGACTACAGACACATGACACCGTGCCTGGCTAATTTTTGTACTTTTTGTAGAGATAACATCTTGATTTGTTGCCTAGAGTGGCCTCAAAACTCCTGGCCTCAAGTGATCCTCCCACCTTGGCCTCCCAAAGGGCTGGAATTACGGGTGTGAGACACCTCACCTGGCCTGGAATGTTGTGAATGTAAAGGGGATGACACATCATACAAAGGGATTCACACTTTTTTTTAGCTATAGGGCTTGCTCAATAAGTGTGCATTGCTGCTATTTCCACAGGAACACAGGTGGCCAAAGAAACCTCTTAAGAGGGAAAAAATGAATCACGGGGAATATGCTCATATAAGAAATTAGGGAAAGAAAAGAAAGAAAAAAAAACAAAGCCTTTTTTTTTTTTTTTTTTTTTTTTGCTGGGTATAGGAAGGCATCCCAGGCTGCTTCATCATTGCCCTGTCCAGTTCTGACAAATATCTTTGACATCCCCAGAGAGAACACTGAGGCCCTTCAAGATTTTAAATTCTCTGAGAAGTCTTCAAAGGTCTACTTTGACTGTAGTAGAAGAGTGACTGGTATCTTCGGAATGGTTTTGAAGTTCAGTGGTAAACATGTCTTTTGGGCTGTATTTTTATCAAGGAACATGTAAATATACCAGCGTGCCCTCTCCCTAAGTCCCCAGGAGCCTTGATGTTTTCCTAGATGTCAACTCCAGCACTTCCGTGAGTGGTAGAGGCAGTGGATGCTCATTCTAAACAAGGTGGTGCAACCAGTTTGTTGTAGGTGTAGTTTTCCTGAACTGGTAAATTGTCCAAAACTTTCACTGACTGTGCAATCAGTCACTCCTTGTGCTACTTGCAGACTTGGCTTGTGGCCTGACCTACTTCACGTTTACACAGGCCCGAAGCTTGCCTGCAAACATCATCGGGGAGCTAGAGATGACGGGCAAGGAGTGATTCATTTCTTTGGCCGTGAGTTGCTTAAAGCAACTCATTTGCGTGCTTGGGGTAACCCCCTTCAAAGTTAAGCAGGCAAGGTGAGCCTTGCTCCATCTGCCCTCAGTAAAGAGATGGCATCCTGCTGGTTATCTTGCTGACATAGCTGGTCCTGCTTAACCAGGTGAGGCAGAGTGTGAAGAGCTTCTTCTGGCGATCAGGCAGACCTGGTTATGAACTCCGATTCTGCTACTTAGTACCTGTAGCCAAATTACTCAAGTCTCTCTGCTTCTCTAGTTCCTCTCTTGCAAAATGATTTATGAGTGGATTAGGTCTATAGATGGCAACATTGTCATGAAAGACTGTTGTATGGATCGAACACACAATAATCTATGCCCAATACCTGTTAAATAGATATTAATAAACTCATATTTGCTGACTGTGTGCCAGGCACTGCTCTAAGCACTTCACATTTATCAACTCATTTAATCTTCCTAACAAGTCCATGAGGTTATTATTGTCCCCATTTTACAGATGTGGAAACTGAGGCAGAGCAGTGTGGTCACTTTTCCAAGGTTACACAGTTAGTAAGTGGTCAACCTGGTATTTACAGGATGGCAGACTCCAAATTTCATGTCCTTAATTACAGTTAATACGCCCTTTCAATAAATGATCCCTGTTAGAATTTTATCAAGCCAGTCTTTACTGGGTGTCCTTGTGAGTTTGAACACCACTAGGAATCCGGAAATAACCCCAAGCTTGTCTTTTTCCTACTGTGGAAATAAGTGACTGATCTCCGGCCATCAAGATCTGTATAATTCTATACACTTATTTATAGCAAGACATAACTAAATTCCTCCCACTCAGTCTCTCTCTCTCTCTCTTACCCCCAGAGGGCCTTTCAGTAGCTTATTTGGAGTGAACACCATCCAGGGAAAAAAAATTAGTTAAGAAAAACAGGAATTAAGATGTCAAGACAGATTGCCGACAGGACCTTTGATCTGACCAGAAATAAATATAAAAGAAGCTGCTGAGAAGTCTCTTGCCTGATTTCCATCTAAACCACTAGAAGTCAGACCCAATTCCTGCGGCTTCAGCCTGGCCCCAGGACTCGTGAGGACTGGGGTATGATCTCCACTTCGCAAGGGGAAGCCAGTGGCTCTCTAAATCTTCCTAGAGTGCCCTGTGTCCTGAGGATGGGGTTGGGCGGGGGAAACATCCATTGAAATCAGGATGGAAGAAAAGTTCCTGAGGTGAGTGTGATTTGGTGGGGCAGTGGAAGATGAAGCTCATTGACAATGGGTTTTACCATTTGGGAAATGGTAGCAAGTGTAGCAGGCATTTGCTCATCCCTTCCCATGTACCAGACACTGTGCTAAGTACTTGGATGCCTCATCATACTTCACCATCACAGCTACCCTAGGAAGTATGGAGTATAATTATTTCCCTTTTATAGATGAGAAAACTGGGGTTCAGAGTGTCTTATCAGGCTGCCCAGGGCCATAATAACTAAGGCACAGCAGGGCAGAGATTTGAATCCAGGTTTTATGATTCCAATAGCTGCTCATTTAACCAGTAGTCGGTTCTGAAATAATGACTGGAGCCTAGAAAGTTGAGTTTCTCAAAGGAAATTTTCTAGTTTGCTAATTTGGTTCTAGAGCTGCAGGATTATAGGGGCAGCAAAATGAATATTGCCATTTATTGAGTACCTGCTGTGTGTCCAGTATCATAGGAGAGATTTTCGAGGGTCAAAGAGGGGTATACAGGCCAGGACTTGGGGAAGGAGTGAGTGAAGGACAGGGAGGATCCAGAGATGGCTTGATTAATAGGTGATGTGGATGCTGCTTGCTGAACCATTCACCAGATTAGGACACTGAAAGAAAATACCTGGGGGTGAGCTGGTGAGGAGATACTGTGATTATCCTCCCAGCAGCCATTCCCTTTATTTCTTACAAACAGATTTTGCCCCTGCTTTGGACTGTTCTCTAAAAGTGAGCCTGTGACCCAATTCTAATCAATGAGACTTGGATGGAGGCTATGATGACTCTAGAAATGTTGCTTTTTTATTGATCGAAGGACAAAGTGATCCTAGAAAAAGGCCTCGCCTCTCTCCTAGACTTTCTACCTCTGACTGAGCTCATGATGCTTGGAGCTGTGGCTACCATTTTGAAGGCGTGAGTTGATGAACAGGAAGGGAAGTGAATGCGTTGAGCTTGGGGGAGTAGATGAATGGGGAGGGCTTACCTTGATGTCCAGTGGAGTGGCTGCCCCAAACCTGGAAAGCAACCGCCTGTCTATAGATGTCTGAAGATGTCCAAATTAAACATCTCCAAGGTTTAATGCAAGGTGAGCTGGCTTTTCTGTTAATTGTATCTGAAGGCATCCTAACTGATGCTGATGTAAGTTTAGTCTCTGGTCTTTTAAGCATTGGAAGTCCCTGTGAAAACTTCCTGATCATGATTTAAAAGAAAAAAGAAAAGAAAAGAAAAAAGAGAGAAGTGGCAAAAGGGGAAGGTGGAGGCAAACTGTTCACTGTGCTGGGAGAACAGAGTGAGGAGGTTTGAATGTGGTTGCTGGAACTGAATGATAAAAGGCTTTCGAACGATCCAAATCTAGAGCCTCCCAAATAATAGCAATGTAGAAATTGGCCATCTGAGTCAATGTCTGGTTCTCACTCAGGCCAGACCAGGACAAAACACTTTTCCTACTGCCTTGAGAAAGCATGGGCATCTCTCCCTTGGTATCTTTTCTCAGCATGCAAGTTTCAGATGCCAGGACCGTCACAATGAGGGGAGAGGGTTCATGAAATCATGCCCAGCCAGGAGCAGTGAAGCTAAGACTAGGAACCTGGGTAGAGGGAGCTTTTCTGATTTTAGGGCTCCTCCCTACCAGCTGGCTGGAGTTGGAGATACTCTCAGCAAGGGGGCTTTGCCAGCATGAGTAAAACCAGTTTCCTCTGTGCTGTGCTCCCAGGCAGCCAGATGCAATTTACTCTCCACCTCTACCCTTCCTTGCATCCCATCTGCAAGCATTTGAGTGTCCTCTAGTTATGGGGATCGGAGACCTGACCTCTTCCTCCCTCTCTCTTCCTCTTCCCTCCCTCTTTCACTTCCTCCTGCGACATCTGAGAGGGGCTAGCATCCTGGTTTGTCACAGTTGCAACCTTTGAAAGTCTTCCCCGCCCGATCTCCTTCTCCACTTCACTCCCCCATCCCTGGTTCGAATACTTTCCCGAGTACCCTCCTATTTGGCACCAGATGTTAGAGGTTACAAACCGGCCGCCCTAGCTTTTACATCCTCCCTTATTTTACTTGCCACCTGTCTTTCCGAGACTCTGCCCACAATCCCCCACCCCCATCCTGGCGTGTGTGTGCTGACCTCCACGTGCTCCCAAATCAACTGATTGCACCGGAATCCACTTAAAGGTGAAAGGATAAAGCAATTTTCTTCAAGATGTGGCCTAAACTGTTTAGTCTTGGAGGTCTCCAAAGAGCAGAAATGAAAGGTCCCCCCACCCCCACCTCTGTCCCAGAGAGCCCAATCTGGGCTTGCCTCCGTCTGGGTAATTTGGAATAGCTTAATCTTCTGTCTCTGGGCAGGTTTGTCAGACCTCTGCAGAATTAGGCCCATAATGCACGGGCAGTGTCGGTGATTGCCTGGTTCACTGACTTGAAAATTAAAAGAAAAAAAAAAGCCTAAAAACTGTAATAATCAGTCGTTTCCACATCGGAAAGTCTGGAGGCATCAATCCGAAAGGAGAAAGATGTAATGCATTAATCTGACATGAGGACAATGGGCTGTGACTTTATATATTTAATTGTTAAGTGAGGTGATTGTAAACTGGGGTTGGAACCAAAGGACAGACGTCTGCTCTCAGTGTACTCCACTGCCAAAGCACACACGGATGGATTTGGCCCTCGAATATTTTTGATTGAGGAATGTTGGACTGGGACTGTCTAAAGGGCAGGAAGGTGGGGTCTGCATGCTCAGAGGTTCCAGGCTCCAGAATTATTACACAGACCCAGACTCAAATCCCGGCTCTTCTCCCTATTCACTGTGGCCCTTGGACAAGTCACCTCTCCTCTCTGAGCCTCAGTTTCCTAAAAAACCTGCTGTGAGAATTGATGGGGTGAAGCAGTTAGCATGCACTTGGCGCCTGCTGCGTGATGTTAATATTAATTAGCTTTAAGGTTTGCCTTCCTGGCCAGGGTGTTGAGGTGTGATACACATGGAAGGACAAGAGAGCCAGAGAGGTTTTATCTTCCTCATAGGAGTGGTTTTAGGTTCCCTGTGTCTCCAGTCATGTTTCTAAGCAGTCCGCAGGGCACACCGCTCTGGCTGAACACAGCTCCAAGCAGAGCTCCATTGTAATCACCTGGTGGCTTGTCTGTTTCCACCAGGAGACAGTGAGCTTCCTGGGGGAAAAAGCCATGTTGAGCTTGCTCAATAGTGTAATCTCCAAGCAATTAATTCACATAGTGAATAAGTGTGACTTTGAGCAGGTGACTTTATTGGAGCCTCAGTTTTTCCAGCTGGAAAATGGGACTCAGTGTAGTACTTTCCCATAGGAGTATGGTAGGAATTGAATTAGACAATCCCTGAGCAGTGCTTGACACATAGTGAGTACTCAATGCATGTTAGCTGTGTTACTATCATGATTATTCTAGTTGTCCTCAAAGAGCCGTCCCTTGTGTCTCAGACGTCCCAGTTCCAACTCTCCTTACCATCTGCTGGTAGTACTTTCTTCCCTTATGGAATCTCTGTGTAGCATCAGCATCCCGTGGGGTCGAGGTGCTGGCAAACTGTACTAAGTGAAAGCTAAGACAGCTTCCTCTTCTGTTCTGCCCAATTCTAGGCAACCGTCGAATCTTTGAAAACCCAAGTGAATTTCGATCTTTATGCCAAATGCCTTCACTTAAATTTCAGGCTGTACCCAGAATTCACAGTGGTACGGGCAATCTATTTGACCTCATAAGAGCCACTTAAAGGCAAATGTGTACACCCAGCAATTCCACCTTTCCATTTCTCCCCAAGAGAAATAGTTGCAATGCTCATAAAGAAGCACATAAAAGGATGTTCACTGCCACCCTGCTTGCAGCAGCAGAAAACTGGAGACAGCCTGAATACCCACCAGTAGGAGACTGGTTAAATAAATCATGGCACGCCCATGCAATGGAAGCAGGCTCAGCAGTCTTAAGCAATGAGGATGATCTACAGAAGGGTCTACAGGACATATTGATAAGTGAAAAAAATTGCAGAACAATTGCATTTATGTAAAAACAAAATTAAGCATCACATTGAATGTTGTATGTATCAGTGCACAGATGCACAGAGAAATGTCTGGAAGGATGCCCAGAAAACTAGTAACAGTGAAACTGAATTAATTGGGTTGGGAGGGAGACGAAAAGAAATCAGAGAGAAATTCACTGCCTGTTTTTTTCCCTGAATGCTAGATTTTTTTTTTTTTTTTGCAATAAGAATTTACTATGTATTCCTAACATAAATGGGAAAATGAAACACACTCACACATAGGAAAGGTTAAAATTACAACTCTAAAGAACATAAGCTCAACACAATTCCGTACAAATGAACACATCCCCAATGACTTGCAACACTAGAGTGAAGATAAGTTGTGACATAGTCTCACAATAGAAAACTATATGCTAATAAGAATAAATGAAACACAATTAGACACCACGACACAGATAATTCTCGCCAATGTAACAGTGAGTTAAAAGAGTTACACACAAAGAACCGTGCTATATAATTCCATTTATAGAAAGAAGAAAACCAGGCAAAACTGGAAGGGGCTGTAAGGAAGCATCCAGATGCACAGGAATGCTCTTTCAAGATCTGGGCACAGGTTACACCAGTTTGTTCAGTTTGTGAAAATTCATTACGCCGAACATTTATGATTTGTGCACTTTTCTGTATGCATGTTATACATCAGTAAACGTTTCCCCAAAAGTCAATACATTAAAACATGCTTTTTTTTATATGACGGGGGATAAAAGCCCTTTATCTTCCTAGAAATACCACCATAAACCAGTCTTAACCATTTTCGAAGCCTTTAACACAAGTAAACAATCATTTATTTAATGAAGGGAGGAGTCCATAGCTTTCATCAGATTTTCAAAGGGAACCTTCACCCCCTGAAAGATTAAGAACAAATGCTCATGCTGTTTTGCAGAGGTTGGAAAGGTGGGGTGGGTGATTACCCCCCCACCAAAAAAAAGAATCTTGAGTTAAATTTATTTCTCGCACTAAAGGTAACAGCCACACAGTATCCAGCGAAAGGATGTTGGAAGTGGGGAAGGTCAGGGTGAGTTCCTCCAACAGCCGCCCCCTCCAAGGTCTTGGTCAACCTTGCTTGCTTTCTTGCTAGCGGATGTTCACCTTGCCATTCCCCACACATCTGCGGTTTATGGCGGTGTGTGATGCTTACAGGGTGATTTATAGCAAGGCTCAGGCTTGGGGAAAAGGTTTCTAGAGGAAGGTCCCCCCACACTCGTTTGTAATTTAGGGGCATTTCTTGAATTCCCCGGCCCATTGGTTCCTGGCAGAAAATGATGGGGATAGATGCTCCCCAACATATGTGTCCCTGTGAAGAGAGATGGATGGTCACGGGAAGTGGCTGTTCCCCATAAATCACAGCATTTAGAATACACTGTCTCTTCTTATGAGATATGAGAGAGGGAAGAGAGAGGGTGGACTCACGTGCAGGACACTGCACAGGAAGCGGTGGGTTAGGGGGCAGAGGGGAGAACTGGGGCTGCCTGTGATATGGCAGCTTAAAGATTAAGGCTTCGTCCCGGCAATGGCGTAACATCACCAGGCCACATGGTGGATCTCTCCCTGCATTTTCGGAGTCTTTTCTGACTACCTGGCATTGGGATGCTTTGTCTCTTTCCTGGGCTCACTCCCTTCCCATCTTTAGTTTCCCTCTCTGATCTGTATAGGGGAAAGGCGTGTATAGACCTGGGTTTAAATCCCAGCTCTGTCTCTTACCAGCTGTGTGAACTTGGGCGTGTTATGTAAGGTCCCGGATCTAGAAAATGGAAGTACTAAGCCGACCTCATAGGGTTCTTGTAGGGGATTCAATGAGGTGTTAAATGAAATTAAGTGCTTTTTACAGGACACTTAGTTGACTCTCAATTCATAGTCATTACTACTTTTATTTTATTTTTAATTAATTATTATTATTTTTCTCAAATGGGGTCTTACTCTGTTGCACAGGCTGGAGTGCAGTGGTGCCATCATGGCTCACAGCAGCTTTGAACTCCTGGGCTCCAGTGATCCTCCCACCTCAGCCTCTGGAGTAGCTGGGACTACAGGCATGTGCCACCATGCCTGGCAAATTTTATAAAAAATATTTTTGTAGAGACAGGGTTTCGCTGTGTTGCCCAGGCTGGTCTCAAACTCCTGGGCTCAAGCAATCTGCCCACCTCAGCCTCCCAAAGTGCTGGGATTACAGGGGTAAGCCATTGCACCTGTGCATATTAATGACTATTCTTTATACCTTCCTGTATGCCCATGGTTCTTAACAGGGGTTGACTTTGTCCCCAGGAGATTCTTGAAAATGTCTGGAGACATTTCTGTTTGTCATGCCACATTTGGGGGAGGGTCTGCTACCGGCATCTAGTGCGGGGAGAGCAGGGATGCTGCCAAATGTCCTACCACATGCAGGACAGGCCCCCACGGCCAAAAACTGCCCAGCTAAAATGTCAATAGTGCAGATATTGAGAAATCCTGCTTTAGGCCGGACATTCGGTATTTTCTGTCTTTGGTATTCCCATATTGTTTCATCCTTCCCTTTTGGCTTTATATCATCCTGGATGATGAAGTTATTAATAGTTGTCACATTTCCAACATTATTATTAGACATCACAGATTGGGTCTAAATTCTGGCTTTGCCACTTACTGGCTGTGTATCCTTGGATGAGTTACTTAGGCTCACTGAGCCCCAGTGTCCTCACCTCTAATGTTGGAAGTCGACTATGAAGATGAAATATGATCCTGCACAGGAATGACGGCCCGGAGCACTGCTCAAGAAAACATTGTGCATCGTCAGTGTCCTCAACAACCTTGAGAAGCATGAGACCTGCTGGAATATCGAAGTGCATGGCTGGCTCATTCCTGTGTCCTAAAGTTCTTCCTCTCTTGCCTCTCCCATGACTTTCTCCTAGTCCCATCTTTTTCCTTTAGTTTCTTTTCCCCCTCCCTTTCATTTCTTCTCTTTTTTCTGGCTTACCCTCAGGCAGGAACAGAGGGGGCCCAAACCCTCTCTACTGTGGTTACACATGCACAATTTCAAAGCCTGCTTCTGAAGACAATGTGGCCTGTTTAAAGGCGAATGACTCACTTGTCTGGTTTCTCTTTCACTCCCTGGCTCTGGCTGTTAAAGTTTGGTTCCTGTAGGAGGAAGGGGCGAACTTTGAACGTTCCTCAGGGCCTTCTTATCATGTCACCCACAGCCCCGGCTTTCCTCCCTTGGTGGTGAGAGTTGGGATCAGAAACTCTTGGGCAGGCTGCCTTCCTCTCTCCTCATCTGAGCCCCATTCGCCCTGATCTCCCTGCTGACAAGAGCTGACATCCACGTGCAGCTGGGATTCCCTGTACATCTGAGCACCACCTGCCCGGAAACCCCCCAGGACCCAAACAGAGAGGAAGGCCTCTGTCCTTGGCTACACCCCTGCCTCTTCTTCTTCCCAGGAAGAACCTCACCTCTCAGGGGCTCTGCTTAACCAAGATCCACTTAAAGTAAGAAGAGAGCCCCATTCAACACCGATGAAGTGTATTCAATATGCCAGACACATTGCTAAGTGTTTTACATGCATTATCTCATTCAATCCTCACACCAACCCAGGGGGGTGGTCATTTTGTCATCCATATGTTAAAGAGGATGAAACTGAAGCTCATAGAGACGTAGTCACTTGCCCAAAGGCACACATTTACCAAGCGGAGAGCTAGAATTTGGACCCATGTTCCTCGGATGTCAGAGCTAAGTTGACTAACTTGTCCAAGTTTGCCTGGGACTTTCCCAGGTTTACCACTAAAAGTCTCAGGTCTTGGGAAACCCCTTAGGCTCCTAAAAACCAGGTTGTCCTATAATCAGAAGGAGAGAATGCAATGAGACCAACCCTGGTACTACAAATTCCAAGCATTTTTAAATAATAATATTCCCTCCATTCCTCTCCCTCCTTCCTTCCTCCCTCCCTTCCTCCCTCTCTTCCTTCCTTCTTCCCTCTCACTTCTCCCTTCCTCCCTCCCTTCTTTCCTTCTATTCTTCCTCCCTCCCTCCCTTCCTTCCTTCCTTCCTTCCTTCCTTCCTTCCTTCCCTCCCTCCCTCCTTCCTTCCTTCCCCATGTGCTCTACTGCCAGAGAAGAGATTGGGCCAGCAGTGACTTTTGTGTGAGAATCAAGAACTACTTAAAATTGACAATGCCTGGGTTTGGAGAAAGCCCCTTTCTGGTGCCAAGGTTATGCACAAAAGAAGTGTTGCTCCTCTGCGGGCTTAGGATCTTCCCAGGATGTTCCTCAGCCCTTCCCTGACATCCTTTCTACTTGTGGTCATGTTTTCCTGGGTCAGCTTCTGTTTTCTGAAACACCACTTGGCAGTGGGAGCTGTGGGCTTAGTTGATGGGATCCAGTCACACAATATGTAGAACCAAGCCTGGTACTCAAGGCTCTTTGGGATCTCTTCCAACCTTACCAATCTGTGGGAGAGTCTGACCAGCGTGTCTCCAAAGCCATATTCTCTTCCTCCTGGCCACCCACCTAGACTGCACTTCCCAGTCCCCCTGCAGGGAGGTGTGGTCATGCGCCTGAGTTCTGACCCTAGAATGAATATAGGTGGAAGTGGCATTTACCATATGGTTCACGCATAAACATTGTCCATATGGAGTCCACCATGCTTTCATGCTTTTTTTTTCTTCTTCTGTGTGACTTTAGGCAATGCGAAATCCACAGGACAGAAGAAACCTGGTTCTGGAATCCCCTCTTGGAAGTGAGCTGCCTGCTGATTAATAATACTTGTTGTTTTGGATTTTATGTAAGCTCAAAATATACTTTATGGGTGTGACCCAATGAGATTTGAGGATTTGTTTATTACAGAAACTAGCATTGCCCTAACTAATATATATCCAGTCACATTTCTTTCCACTCTAATACACAAAAATCTCTATGCTGCTCAGAAGAGTTTCCATCTCCCCCACTACTGCTTATATGTCTTCTGCCTAGAATATCTTCAATTGCTTTCTTCCTATTTTAAACTATTCATCTTTAAGGCCCAAGCTAAGTGCCATCTCTTTGTTTGTATATTTGTTTTATTATTATTATTATTATTTTTTGGAGACAAGAGTCTCGCTCTGTTGCCCAGGCTGGGGTGCAGTGATGAATCTCAGCTCACTGCAACTTCTGCCTCCCGGGTTCAAGTGGTTCTCCTGCCTCAGCCTCCCGAGTAGCTGGGACTACAGGCACGTGCCATCACACCTGGCTAATTTGTTGTACTTTTAGTAGAAATGGGGTTTCACCATGTTAGCCAGGAAGGCCTTGATCTCCTGACCTCGTGATCTGCCCACCTTGGCCTCCCAAAGTGCTGAGATTACAGGCCTGAGCCACCGCGCCCAGCCTATTTTTAATTTTTGAGTCTTGTTCTGTTGTCCAGGCTGGAGTGCAGTGGCACAATCACAACTCACTGCAGCCTTGACCTCCTGGGCCCAAGCGATCCCACCATGCCTGTGCTCCCAGCTACTTGGGATGCTGAGATAGGGGATTTTTTTTTTCTTTTATGTAGAGCTGATGTCTTGCTATGTTGCCCAGGCTGGTCTCAAACTACTGAGTTTAAGTGATCCCCCTGCCTTGACCTCCCAAAGTGCTGGGATTACAGGTGTAGGCCACTGTGTCTGGCCTACATCTCTTTGGTGAAGCCTTCCCATACCACCTATCTTTCAAGTCAACTGCAGTATCTCTGTCTATCATCTGTTTATTCATTCATTCATTCTCTTAACAGGGTTTATGAGCACCTTCATGAATGTCCACTGCTCTATGCTAAGCACTGAATATTTAGAAGAAGACAAATCCCAGGCCACACTATCTGAAAGTTTAGTGAAGACAGTAGATGAAACAAAAAATAGACATCACAATCCACTGTAATATGTGCTAAGTTTGGCAATGCACAGGGTGCTGTGGTTACATTGAGAAGGAATGATAGGCTCAGTTTGGGAAGAGCTATATTCAATAAATAATCACTATTGTTATTTTGCCAGGTCTCATATTTAGTCTGTTAGCAAAAGTCAGTGGGCAATCAACGGCCCTCTGGATGACCCATGATGCACTGTCTCTCTTTTTTGCCTCATTTTTCACCATATGCTACTCAATGGTTCCAGCTTGTCATCATCATATCAGTTACTAGAGAAAAAACTTGTTCAGAGAAGGGAAGACTTAAATGAATGGGCAACAGGCCTAATGAGAAAGGGGTGTTGGGTATGGAAAGCTGTAGAGGGAATCTGACATTTATTGAATGACTACTGTGTGCCATACACTACTGCCTTTTATTTCACTTAAACAGCACAACAATCCTGTAAACTTAGTATTATTTTTGTGCATATTTTATAGAAGAGGTAACTGAGGTTCAGCAATGTGACATCACTTGCCAAGTTCTTGTATCAAGGAAGGGATGGAGCCCCTAGGTTTAAAGTTTTCCTGAAACCAAGCTGCCAACCACAATGCTGCTATTGGTCAGGGTTCTGGTAGGAGAGAGGAGGCTCACTCCACAAGAGAAATGGAAGAAAATTTAATTAAGGGAACACTTGCAAAAATGTGGGCAGGGTGAAAGGAAGTCCATATGCCTAGTGAAACAACCTGGGATTGGCGATAGTCTGAAGTGTTACCTACTCTAGGCCAGAAGAGATTAGTATAGGGAGGCAGACATTACCAGAACCAGAGCAGTAGCCACAGGAAAGGGCTTCTAGACAAGATACGTTGTCTTAGTCATTGCCCGTCCCAGACCCAGCAGAGAGACAACCGAGGGAATAAACACTCTGATATCTCCCTTCTTCCTCCTTCCTATTCCCTGTGAATGGCTTCCATTGGTCAAACACAACTGGAATTCTGAAGACAAGGTATCCTGTTCCTGTTGACCTTGTAGGACAGCCTTCCGGGGTGGAAGTTGAGGTTTAGGCTTGAGCTGGAGTGGTCAGCTAGAATATGCAGCACAGTGACCTAATTGCCTCTCATATACACCTAGTTTAAATGATAACAGATTAAACCTGCACCTTCCAATGGTTGTTTTTTGTACTGTATTTATGCAACTGTATTTCAGTAGAAATAAGAGAGTGGGCAAACTTAACAATAGTTTGACCACAGACCATAAATTCCTGCAGTTTAAAGATTCTGGGAGCAGATCTCTCTGGAAAATACGAACTGGGGCCAATGTGGTCAGGGTGGACCCATGAAACTTCCTTAGCCACAGGAGTTTTGTTAAATAGTCTTTGCAAGTTTATGCTCTATCATTTCTTGGATGGATTTAAAAATTCACTCATCACTGCTGAGACAAATTGTACCAAGCACAAGGACCACTGATTGAATAAAACAGAAGCAAACTTTTCCTAATGAAATAAGAACACAAAGGAGGCCTCCCAAAGATGGCTTCTTTAGAAAACAGAGAAGGAAATAAAACAGACAACCCACTAGGATGTGAAGACAAGAGCCTTAGAGAGAGCCCAGAGCCTTCCACAGAAAAGGAAAAGGGAGAACAAAACCAGAAAAAACAACTCAAAACAAAACCACCCATTTCTGATTTCCTGAGTTTTCAATATGGGGATCATTAACAGGAGCATTCTGGCTAATCTTAATTGCTAGGGCCGAGGAAGGGAATTGCCGGGGTAATCAGATCCCAAAGCATACAGGGCTTTATAGATTAAAGCAAAGTTATCTCCTAATCCCATCAAAACGTCATAATCTTGTGTCACAGCAGCATCTAAACACAGCTGATTGAGATGCCACGAGTGCTGAATCTGGGATCCATCACAGCCTTGCCGTCCGGAAAGCAAATAACCCCAAATGAGAAGATTGGATTTAGTGTGGTCTGGAGATATTTACTACAAAGGCCTAAGCCCTGGCTCCCTCTCTCCCTTGGGCTTTGCATGGGGAAAATTCTAGTGTCCCCAGATGCATTCCTTCTAAAGAAAATTTTCCCCAAATGGAAATAGATTCATCATTTTTGCTGATTATAAAATTAATGTGTGACTGCTGCAAAAAAAAAAAAATACAGTCAATACAGAGAAATAGGAGGAAGAGAATAAAAAGCACTCAATCTCACCAGCCAGAGCAACTATTGTTAGTCTGATGTGTTATCTTTTCAGAGCTTTCCTCTGTGCATATGCACACATACATGTACGATACATATCCTCCCTCCCTCTCTCTCTCCCACACACACCCTCACACCCACACACTCTCTCTGATCCTCTTGTGACATCTGTATTCTTCTCTTCCACTCCTAAGATCAGCGCCTGTGCTCTCCATGTAGACTAAGCATGGCCAATCCATAGCTCTCACCTCTCCATCTGCTTAGTTTCACCAACCAGCAGAGACTGACTATTATCTTTGAATTCCATTCCAAATCCCAACGAGAGAGGATCCAATGTGCCCTACTTCAATCCGTTATGACGTTGCCATAGGGTCACATATACATACACAACTGTTATACAACAAAGTACCCTTGCTGGAAGCGGGGAGGAGAAAGTAGGGGACTGGTGGCAGCTCCCAGCATCACCCCAAACAACATCTAATACATTTTAAGTGGTCCTAGTTCACGCCCAGCTCCTACAGAGAAGAAATGGCCTGCGAAAGTCTCAATTTGCAAGCTGAAACTAGTGAGTGGCTCACTGAAGTCTGAGATCCAGGACTTATTCTTCCAAACTCTGGGTTGCTCTATTTTATCAGTTATGCCTCCACTATGGAAATGTCACAAAGTCATATAACAAATAAGAATTTGAGGCCGGGCACAGTGGCTCATGCCTCTCAGTTCTTTGAGAGGCCAAGTTCGGCAGATCACTCGATCTCAGGAGTTTGACACCACCTTGGGCAACATGGCGAAAACCCATCTCTACCAAAAAATACAAAAATTATCTGGGTGTGATGGCACATGCCTGTAGTCTCAGCCACTTGGAAGGCTGAGGTGGGAGGATCACTTGAGCCTGGCGGGGCAGAGGTTGCAGTGAACCGAGATCATACTACTGCACACCAGCCCGGGCAACAGATTGAGACACTTTCTCAAAAATAATAAATAAATAAATAAAATAAAAAAGAAGAAGAAGAATTTGAGAATACAAAGAAAGATAATTGAATACTCATACAATGTTTTATATATAATTTCGGGGGGTTCAAAGACCCCTTTAACTTAGAAGTTTAATTTATGGATCCAATATTAAGAACCCCGTTTTAGAGGAAAATAATACCCATGTATTTAAAATATTCTTCAATATCAAATTGAAGTGTCCTCTACTTGTGTTCAACAGAAAAGCATATTCTACCCTCTCTTGTAAATTGATGATATTCAGGACCCACAAGCGGAAAGGGTTTTATCTTTTCTTGATATTGATGCAGAAGTCCCAATTCCTGGAATCCCCAGCTACGGAGACCTTCAGAAGACCTCCAGGATTCCAGCAGCATCAGGGTTGGTAACCATCTTTGAATCACTGGCGTCTTAGTTTTCTCTTCCCTCTCTCCCTCCTCTCCTTCTCTTTCTCTTCTCTATCTACATACTGAAGTTTCTCTGCCTCTGCCTGTGTCCTTTCTTTTTCCTTCCTCTATGTTTCTTTTCTTCCTTTCTTATTTGAATGCTTTCAATATACATTTCACATTTTTTATGGATCAGTTTTGCTGACATCAGGAACAGCTAATAAAGTTAACGTAGTCTAATTACAATAATAGATCGAGAAGCTATTCAAATTGCCTTTTGCTGGGGGCTCAAATCTTTGTGTCTCGGGTTCAAGCCCAGTCTCTGAGACTCCCTTGCTCTAAGTTTTCAGATATTCCTCACCTCACTTAGACTACTTTCTCATCTGTATAATGGGTGTGAAAAATACCTCTACCTCACAAGGAGGTCAGGAAGCTTCTGAATGAGATAACATATGGTTTAGCTGCCATCAAATATTAGAAAGACATCATGTTAAAGAGGCACTTGATTTATGCTATATAGATCCAGAAGGAAGAATTAGCAATTGTTAAAGTTGAAGGAAAGTTGAGTTTGGCTCAGGGAAAAGGAAAAATTGCCCAGAGCTGTCCAAAGTGGAATAGATTGTCTCAAGAGATACTAAGCTCTCTGCCACTGGGAGTATCCAAGACAAGGCACAAAATCCAATGTGCTTGGATATTAAAGGAAATTCTAGGCACTGTGTACCAGTGTTGACCTCTGACTTCCCTTTTAGATCTAGTATTCTTGATGCCTAATACTCTTGCATTTTTATACCATACCCTTTATTTTCTGTTTTCTTTTCCAGAATCATAATTGTTGGTTAATTTCACAGAGCTTTGGGAGAGGTGGGCTGATCTAGAGGTGAAAGACACTAGAATGTCTGAATTTGGAAACTTATTATTCCCTAACAGCAAGATAATTGCCTCCCTTCTCTTGGCCTTTGTTTACCCAGCTTGGCAAGAGACCAGCATACCCCACTCTGCCTCTCTACCCTCACTGATCCAAAAAAGGTACTGTATTAGTCCATTTTCACACTGCTGATGAAGACATACCTGAGGCTGGGAAGAAAAAGAGGTTTAATTGGACTTATGGTGGCACATGGCTGGGGAGGCCTCAGAATCATGGCGGGAGGTGAATGACACTTCTTACATGGTGGTGGCAGAGAAAAATGAGAAAGAAACAAAAGCAGAAACCCCTGATAAACCCATCAGATCTCATGAGACTTACTCACTATCATGAGAGTAGCACAGGAAAGACTGGCCCCCATGATTCAATTACCTTCCTCTGGGTCCCTCCCACAACACTTGGGAATTCTGGGAGGTACAATTCAAGTTGAGATGTGAATAAGGACACAGCCAAACCATATCGTTCCACCCCTGGCTCCTCCAAATCTCATGTTCTCACATTTCAAAACCAATCATGCCTTCCCAACAGCACTCCAAAGTCTTAACTCATTTCAGCATTAACCCAAAAGTCCACAGTCCAAAGTCTCACCTAAGACAAGGCAAATCCCTTTCACCTATGAGCCTGTAAAATCAAAAGCAAGTTAGTTACTTCCCAGATACAATAGGGTTACAGGCATTGGGTAAATACAGTCATTCCAAATGGGAGAAACTGGCCAAAATAAAGAAGTTACAGGGTCCATGTAAGTCTGAAATCCAATGGGGCAGTCAAATTTTAAAGCTCCCAAATAATGTCTTTTGATTCCAGGTCTCATACCCAGGTCACACTGATGTAAGAGGTGGGTTCCCACGGACGTGGGAAGCTCTGCCCCTGTGGCTTTGCAGGGTACAGCCTCCCTCCCAGCTGCTTTCATGGGCTGGCATTGAGTGTCTGCAGCTTTTCCAGACACACAGTGCAAGCTGTCAGTGGATCTACCATTCTGGGGTCTAGAGGACAGTGGCCCTCTTCTCACAGCTCCACTAGGCAGTGCCCCAGTAGGGACTCTGTGAGGGGGGCCTCCAACCCCGCATCTTCCTTCCACACTGACCTAGCAGAGGTTCTCCATGAGGGCCCCGCCCCTGCAGCAAAGTTTTGCCTGGGCATCCAGGCATTTCCATACCTCCTCTGAAATCTAGGCAGAGGTTCCAAACCTCAATTCTTGAGTTCTGTGTACTCACAGGCTCAACACCATCTGGAAGCTGTCAAGGCTTGGGGCTTCCACCCTCTGAAGCCACAGCCTGAGCTGTACATTGGCCTCTTTAGGCCATGGCTGGAGTGGCTGGAACACAGGGCACCAAATCCATAGGCTGCACGCAGCATGGGGACCCTAGGCCTGGCCCACAAAACCACTTTTTCCTCTTGGGCCTCCCGGCCTGTGATGGGAGGGGCTGCCGGGAAGGTCTCTGACATGGCCTGGAGACATTTTCCCCATGGTCTTGGGGATTAGCATTAGGCTCCTTGCTATTTATGCAGATTTCTGCAGCTGGCTTGAATTTCTCCTCAAAAAATTGGTTTTTCTTTTCTACTGCATCATCGGGCTGCAAATTTTCTAAACTTTTTTGCTCTGTTTCCCTTTTAAAATGGAACGCTTTTAACAGCACCTAAGTCCCTCTTGAATGCTTTTCTGCTTGGAAATTTCTGCTGCCAGATATCTTAAATCATCTCGCTCAAGTTCAAAGTTCCACAAATCTCCAGGGCAGGAGCAAAATACCACCAGTCTGTTTGCTAAAACATAACAAGAGTTACCTTTGCTCCAGTTCCCAACAAGTTCCTCACGTCCATCTGAGACCACCTCAGCCTGGACCTTATTGTTCATATCACTATCAGCATTTTTGTCAAAGCCATTCAACAAGTCTCTAGGAGGTTCCATACTTTCCCATATTTTCCTGTCTTCTTCTGAACCCTCCAAACTGTTCCAGCCTCTGCCTGTTACCCAGTTCCAAAGTTGCTTCCACATTTTCGGGTATCTTTTCAGCAAAGCACCACTCTACTGGTACCAATTTACTATATTAGTCCATTTTTATACTGCTGATAAAGACATACCCAAGACTGGAAAGAAAAAGAGGTTTAATTGGACTTATAGTTCCACATGGCTGGGGAGGCCTCAGAATCATGGTGGGAGGTGAAAGGCTCTTCTTACATGGCAGCAGCAAGAAAAAAATGAGGAAGAAGCAAAAGCGGAAACCCTTGATAAACCCATCTGATCTCATGAGATGTATTCACTATCACGAGAACAGCGTGGAGAAGACTGGCCCCATGATTCAATTACCTCCCCCTGGGTCCCTCCCACAACACGTAGGAATTCTGGGAAAGAGAGTTCAAGTTGAGATTTGAATGGGGACACAGCCAAACCATATCAGGCACAGTGGGGAATGTCTTAGTAGGAAGGGTTGGTTAACCCTGTGATGGGAGTTGGTGCACATACTTGGAAGTGGAATTAGGCTGGGGGTGAAGTGTACTACATAATAAGAGGAGGCATTTGAGGCTCCATCAGAGGAACTGCAGGAGGAACGGGAAAGAAGCCAGGTACCGCATTGGGCAAAGGATGGAGAACACTTTCCACTGATGGAAGCACAAGGAGGAGTCAGCTATAGAGACTACTTGCCCAATGAGGAGCTTTCATTGTTTTTTGTTTGTTTGTTTGTTTTGTGTGTGTGTGTGTGTGTGTGTGTGTGTTTTTTTTTTTTTTTTTTTTTTTTTTGGTGAGTTTGTGATGTAAACATCCTCTCCCCTTTGCCCTGCGGAACCTTCAGCAAAATCTGCATAGCTCACCACTGAATGCTTTTGATGCGAACAGTTGTCTGCAAGAGCACTGACATCAGTTAAAACAGAGAAACCACGTGGGGCTGGCTGACTTCAGGCTTATATCTGTAAAATGAGGACAGTAGGTGGTCTCTCATCTACAGTGAAGGGTGAATGCAGACAGCATGGAACATGTAGCCAGCTACTCAGTACATGCTTCTTGAATGTATAAGCTCCCCATAGAATGTGAATGCAGTCTTTTTCTGGAACTGTTGCATTTTTCTCTCTGAGCAATGACAAACACTCAGATTTTTTTGAGCATTGGATTTCACGTTTACCTTGGCCTGGAGAGTGAGGCAGGAGCAGCTTGTGCATGCCGGAGGGTGCTCCAATACTTCTCTTGATCTTTTTTCCCCAGCCCTACCACACTACAGCCTCAAGCTAGTTCTGGCAACCTGGACTTTTCACTGCCTGAAATCCAATCCAACAGAACATTTTCTCATGGGAGAAAAACATTAATAGAGCTATTCGATGGAAATGTCTAGCTCTGAGAGGCATTTTTTTTTTTTTGGAAGGAAGGAAGACAATACTATATTACTGAGATAATTTTTCCCTTTCTTTCCAGAAATCCTATGATATCTCTGGATGTATTTCTCTCTCTCTCTCTCCCTCTTATTGTTTTTCTGAGGCAATAAATGCTAAATAGACTGATTGCACACCAAAACATTTTATCTATTCTAATGTATTCTGCTCTGTGAATGACTTTAACAGAACAGGTGCAAGGTACAAGCTGGTGCTGTGCAGGTTTCCTTTCAATAGGAATTTTGTTTTTGGAGGGTTCTGTAGATAAATGAATGCCAAAGGTTCATTCAGGCAACTACCTTTTACTCCCTCTTCCCAGGACTAAGTGATACAGTATTGATTCCTTGGGTTAAGAGAAAGTATAAGTTAACACGGGTGAGAAGCCGTTGCCTTTCTTCTCTCAGCACTAGCAGTATGAAAAACATTGGCCTCAAATTAATTTGAAGTCAAATTCTGTCTTTAGCTGGGGTGAAGGGAGAGAGGGAAGAATGGAGGGAAAAAATAACGGCTATGGGTACTTTACCCGTGAGTTGATGTCTCGCTTCTCATTTCAAAAAAAAAAAACAAACTCACTACATGGCATCTCCAGTCTCAAATACTGTCATGTGATCTAAGGGAGTCTTCACTACAATATGTGGGCTAGTTCTTTGCTGAATACCATGGAAGACCAAAGCTGATAGTGGTTGAAAACCTCTATATGTGACAACCTGAAGTCCAGTTTTGTAGAACTGGGAAGCTGATTGGAGAGAGAGGAGCACCTCCAGGAAACTTTTGCTTATAGCGGCTGCCATCAGGAATCTGAAAGTGCATCTATGAGACAACAGATAAATCAGCTCAGCAAGAAAATTAGTTTGTTAGGTTAAAAAATCAGTTAGATATTGTAATAATACATACTGACTAATGATATTATAAAAAGCTATTAATAATAATTATAACCATTATCAGTTGAATATTTAACAAATATCTGGATTTGACTATAATAAAATTAATTGACAGCATACAATGAGTATTTGCCATGTTCTAGAACACTTCTAGGATCTTTGTTGTATATTAAATCACTTAATTCTCACAGCAATCCTGATATGGGTTGGCTGTGTCCCTACCCAAATCTCTTCTTGAATTGTAGCTCCAATAATCTCCATGTTTTGTGGGAGGGACGAGTGGGAGGTAACTGAATCATGGGGGGTGGGTTTTGCCTGTGCTGTTCTAGCCATAGTCAATAAGCCTCATGAGATGTGATGGCTTTATAAAGGTGAGTTCCCCTGCACATGCTGTCCCTGCCTGCCACCATGTAAGACATGCCTTTGCTTCTCCTTTGCCTTCTGCCATGATTGTGAGGCCTCCCCAGCCACGTAGAACTGTGAGTCCATTACACCTCTTCTTCTTTATAAATTACCCAGTCTCCAGTATGTCTTTATTACCAGTATGATATCTAATACTGACTAATACAAATCCCATGAGGTAGGTACAAGTAATGTATAGATGGGGAAACTGAGGCACGGTGTGTCTAAAAGGAGATATTGTTAGTAACTGAATTAATCCTCATTGTGATTTTTGAGATAGGTAGCATAACTCCCATTTTGTGGGTGGGGAAATTGAGGCTGTGTAACTTGCCCAAAATTGCCCACACAGCCAGAAAGTAGCAGAGGTGAAGTTTGAACTTAGGTCTGCCAGGGTACTTCTAACACGGTACCATCTTGCCTCCTGGGCTGGCCTGGCATCTATAGACACACAGTGGGATGGCTGGACATGCTATTCATTCTTTAAACTTCTTCCCGTGACACCATACTGATCCCGAGGGGGAAAAAATGTTGAGATGTTTGGAGGGATTTTTAGCACCCGAGTATCTGCTGCCTCAAATGACCTGAAATGAGAACCAGCAAAAGAAATGAGGTCAGAATTTCACCCTCATAGGATCTTGCTCTTCTTTATCACTTTATCTTTCTTCTCGTACCCCTGAAAAGCCCTTAAAAAGGCAATTTGGTGATGCAGATTCTGCAAAAGATACCATGGAGGTTAATGAAATATGATTAAGCTCAAAAGCAGTCTTTAGAGCGGATGAGGACCTGTCAGAGATCCAATGCTCCAGCACCTGTTTTGAATAACCCTTCATTTCCCCTGAGCCATGCTGCCACCTTTATCAAACACTAAATCATTGAATAAAGTCTATTTCTGTGTCCACTCTTCTATCTCTTCGAGCACATTCTCTCAACCCTTCCTCCAATGCATATGATCTGATTATTGTTGCTAGTTAACATTATCATCTGGAAAGGCAAATACTTTCATCCTTGGAAAGAAATTCTTGGCTAAACTTGTACATTTACTCATCCAAAGGAACTTGAAAACTACTTTGCCACCCTCCTGCCCCTTAGTGGCAACTCACAAAAGTAATCACTGGTATTTTGTTTTAGAATTGCGTTGCATCTTAAACAATTGGAAGGAAATGACATCTTTAGAATGTTGAATCTTTTCATTCAATCAAATATTTTCATATGCCTTTTAGGAATGTTTAGTAATTTTTTGCATATGGTATTATATATTTTGTATTGTTTTCTAGGCATTTAATAAAAATGGTTGCTATTGAAGCTGAGTCCCTTTTATTTTTTAGCCATTTGTTGCTGTTTAAGAAAACTATTGATTTCTGAATGTTTTATGTAGTATCTGGCAATGCAACTAAACTCTTTATTGGGTTTTGATGATTTTCAATTGTTTCCTTTGTGTTTTCAGGTAGAATATTATATCATCTGCAAAGGACTTTTTTTTTTCCTTTTTTATGTCTATTAATCTATTTCTGTCTTATGAATTCTTATGTTGCCTACATCTCATCTCCCAGGAAAGATGTTAAATGCTAATGGTGATAGTGAATATCATTGTCTCAGTAGGTTGACATAACAGTAATTGTGATTTTTGCCATTAGTTTTGCACCAACCTAATATTTCAATTCTGACAAAAATACTTATACAAGTTGCTATTAAATAGCACTCTGCATGTGGTTTTAAGATAGGCAATCTTTAGAAAGTTTTACGAAAAATATCTATCCTTCTATTCCAAGTTTTCTGAAAGATGTTTTGGTAAAATGATGTTGATGTTTTTTAATGCCTTTTATGAATCTATCGAAATTATTATACATTTTTACTTTGGTATACAGATGAGCTATTTTATATTGTATTCTAGCATAAGCCCTCACTGAACATGAAGACTCGTGTTTTTAACGTAATATTTAAGTTAATTAGTAAGGATTTTTGCATTTATGATTCTAGGTGAGATTAGTCTGTAGCTTTCTTTTCTTGTATCAATTTGGTCTTCCGCTGTGTTGCCAGTGTCACAGCTGCAAAGAATGCAGTACGCAGTGATTCATCTTTCCCTATGGTCTAAAACAAATGTATACGTATGGCATGAAAATTACCAATGTATCCACGTTGAAAAACTGACTATTAAAATTGACCTCTGAATCTTTTTGGGGGATAAAGTTTTTGAATACTGTCTTCTATGATGCTTGTTCAATGACGCTTGTCCTCTGTTTCTTTAATCTGGTAACTTCTACTTCCAGAATATTGATTATTTTGTTGTGATGTAAATTATATGTGTGTATTTATATAGTGTGCTTTTTATTTTAAACATTATGGTCGTACAAACCATATATCTGATAAAAGGTTAACATGCAAAACATATAGGCCGGATGCGGTGGCTCACGTCTGTAATCCCAGCACTTTGGGAGGCCAAGGTGGGTGGATTACCTGAGGTCAGGAGTTGAAGACCAGCCTGGCCAACATGGTGAAACCTGTCTCTACTAAAAATACAAAAATTAGCTGGGCATGGTGGCACATGCCTGTAATCCCAGCTACTCGGGAGGCTGAGGCAGTATAATCACTTGAACCCGGGAGGCGGAGGTTGCAGTGAGCTGAGATCGGGCCATTGCACCCCAGCCCGGGCAACAAGAGTGAAAATCTGTCTCAAAACAAACAAACAAACAAACATGAGGAACTCCTACAACTCAATAGTAAAACAAACCCAAACCCCAAAACCCAAAACCAAATAACCTGATTAAAAAATTGGCAAAGGATCTGAGTAGACATTTCTCCAAAGAAAATATACAAATGGCCAACAGGTATATGAAAAGGCGCTCAACATCATCAATCATCAGCGAAATGCAAATCAAAACAACAATAAGACACCATCTCGCACCTGTTATCTCTTATGTATCACTTATTATCTCACTCCAAAGATAATAAATGTAAGTGAGGATGTGGAAAAAAGGGAGCCTTTGTACACTGCTGGTGGGAACGTAAATTGGCACAGCCAGTATGGAAAACAGTATGGAGGTTCCTACAAAAATTAAAAATAGAACTACCATAAACTCCAGCAATTTCACTTCTGAATATATATCCAAAAGAATTGAAATCAAGATCTCAAAGAGATATCTGCACTTCATTACAACGTAATGTTCATTGCAACATTATTCACAATAGCCAAGGCATGAAAGCAATCTCAATTCCCATTGATGGATGAATGCATAAAGAAAATGTGGTATATACATATACTTTTATTGAGACTTTAAAAAGAAGGAAATCCTACCTTTGTGACAACATCAATGAATCTGGAGACCATTATGCTAAATGAAATAAGCCAGGCACAGCAGGACAAATACCGCATAAACTTCTGTATACGACGAATCTAACTTAGTCAAACTCGTAGAAGCAGAGAGTACAATGGTGATTGCCAGGGGTTAGTGGGAAAGGAAATGGGGATCTGTTGGTCAAAGGGTACAAAGTTTAGTTATATGAGATAAATAACTCCTAGAGATCTACAGTACAGTATAGTGCCTACAGTTAATAATACTATATTACATACTTAAAAGTTTGTTAAGAGATTAGATCTTATGTTACCTGTTTTTATCACAAAAAATAGTAATAACAAATAAAAAGGGTGGGAGAAGCCTTTTGAAGGTGATAGATGTGTTTATGACATTGATTGTGGTGATGGTTTCACGAGTGTATGCCTATTTCCACACTTCTCAAGTTGTATACATTAAATATGTGCAGGTTTTTGAACATCAGTCATACCTCATTAAAGTGGTTAAAACTAGCCCTCATGTTTATATTTTTCTTTCTGTTTTCTAATATTATTTGTAGTTTCTTTATTCTCAGCTAGTTGTGTGTGTGTGTGTGTGTGTGTGTGTGTGCGCGTGTATGTGATTTTTTATATAGAGAGGGTCTAACTATGTTAACCCAGGCTGGTCTTGAACTCCTGGACTCTGCTCAACAATCCTGCCTTGGCCTCCCAAAGTGCTGGGATTACAGGCATGAGCCATTATACACCCAGCCTCTCTCAAATAGATTTACTTTACTAAATATCAACATTATTCAACACTTATGAACATTTGTAATAGCTACCAATGTGTGAGGCACTGTTTTTAGCACTTGACCTACATAAACTCATTTGAACCTCACACCAACCTAATTGAGTAGTTGGTAATTTCCTCCATTCTACAACTGAGTTATTGGACACACACAGAGGCCTAATGACTTGCCAAAATCACCCAATTAACAGGTGATGAAGGTAAAATTGAAGCCCAGATTATCTGGCCACAGAGCCTGGCTACATGGTACCAAATGTGTGATAGCTTAATTAATATTTAAAAGGCAGAAGAATTGATCTTATTGAAAAAGAGAGAAGGGAAATAAAATGATATGCAGAGATGTTAAATATGTCAATGGTCTACCTTCCAGGAGGATTGATCCAATAAATTTTTCCATTCATTTATTCATTCATTCATTTACTCATTAACTCACTATTTGATAGATGCTTTCCAAATATTTATTATACTCCTAACAACAATTCAGCCACTAATCCAGGTGCTTGAGAATCCTTGCCTTTGTGGATCTTACATTCTAGTTAGTGGGATGGAAGCAGGGGGAAAGTAGAGATGACAAACTTTTTGCCACAAAATATAACATGTAGATGGCATTTGGATACATGATTAGGCTACTAAATTCTGCTGTGCATGTGTATTTCTAGTCAGCTGTGTTTATTCTATAGATGATCCTGTTCTACAAATAGTTACTAGCATGTGCAGGGCTGTATTCATCCATTCTCTCTTTGTTATACAGAACTATCTGAGACGGGGTAATTTACAAAAAGAAAAGAGGTTTAATTGGCTCACATTTCTTCAGGCTGTACAGGTTCTGGGGAGGCCTTGGGAAACTTACAATCATGATGGGAGGCAAAGGGGAAGAAGGCAACATCTTACATGCCCAGAGCAGGAGGAAGAGAGCTAAGGTGGAGGTGTTACACACTTATAAACAAGCAGATCTTGTGAGGACTCACTCACTATCATGAGAACAGCAAGTGGGAAATCCACCCCCATGATCCAATCACCTCTCACCAGACCCCTCCTCCAACACTGGGTATTATAATTCAATATGAGATGTGGGCAGGGACACAAATCCATATCAAGGGCCCTGGAGTAAATGTAGGAGCCAGACAAGCACTAGATGAGGAAACCGGGACTTGAAAAATTTAAATCTGTCCAACTTCTCATAGGAGGTAGTAGAGTTGGACTTATCTATGTGACTTTCACAGGGAACAAAGAATTGGAGTCTGACGCACCTCTACTAGGGCTCTGCACAAAAGAGAAATTAATCCAAATTCGTTGAATGAATGAATGATATAATTCTCAGACTTCCAGGGAGGTCAACATGATTTTAGAGAATTCCAATAATCAAAAGCTCATTCTGAGAAAAGCTGAACTCGACCTCAGTGCCCATAGGAAGCAGAGACATTTAGCTGGTACCAGGAGACCTTTAAATAATGACGTGCACACTCCAGGCGCTCTCAGATTGAAAGAGACAGGCATCTCAGTGGCTTTCCCTGGGCCTCGCCTCCCCCTTTGGTCATCAAGGCAGACTGGAGCTGCAGACGGGACCCGCTGCCTTCAACACGGGCCTTGCATTAGATGCGTGTCAACAGAGATTAGCTCAGCCTCACATGCCACCATTTGCCATTTGTTAGGCCACCTTCACCAACCCCGTAATCTAATCTTGGCTGGAGCAATGCCTCTTCCAGGTTAAATGTATTAAAGGAGCCGGGGGACGTGGGCTGTTCAAGGCGGCCGTGGCTTCTCCCTTTCTGACAAGCCTGACCCCACTCCAAACCCCTCATCCCCAAGAGACACCAGGGGTCAGAACCTCCTTGGTGTAGAAGGGAGCAAAATGCTAACAGAGAGAGACGAGAGGATATTGGAAACATATTCTCTGGGCCTCCGTGCTTTAGAAATTCGAGAAGAACAGGAGGTGACAAGTTAAAGCTTTCACTGCTGGAAATATTTTTCTTTTCCATGTTTCAACAAGAATTTGATAAAGATATTTGTGAGGTTGGAGAGGAGAGGAGGAAGCAGAGAGAGTCCTAAAGCAGATGGTACCTGAAGGAAAGGAAGGATACTTTAGACACCTTTAGAGGAAATTTATGGGGGACAACTTTCCATGGCACACATCCATTCTTATTACATGTGTTTTTAAATCATGTGACATTTTTAAGCAAGTAAATGTTTCATCAGCAAATTATGCATTTATTTTTCCTCTGAGTTCCTTTGAATCCCTGACTTGGTGTAGGGGGATATCTGTGTAGTTTCCTGTTATTCTCACTCCACTTTATTAAGAGTCGAGATGAATGATTTCCCTTTTTCTTCTGAACATACCTGGAACCCTCCAATGGCTGTCGTTGTTCTCATGTTGTTTTTCCTGCCCCCAAATCTCCCTCTACCCCCATTCCTCATTCATCTCTGCAAATCCAAGTTTAGTAGGTTTTATCTCCTATTTATCATTTTTTAACTCCATTCTTGAAAAGTTTGAGAACCACTATCTTGGGCCAGCCACCATCATTTCGAAAATGGTACCAAAAAAGTTCATTTTAAAAATATTTAAATTCATGGACCATCAGAGAATGGCACAGGTCTCAAGTGTCCAGCTTAATAAATTGTCACAAACTAAACACATCGTGTAACCAGCACCCATGAGAAACAGAACCTCATCAAACCCCTTGTATCCCTCTTTGCCCGAGGGCAACTGGTATCTGGACTTGTAACACCATAAACTAGTATGATTTCTTTTTATACTTTACCTAAGTGGAATTTTAAGGCATGCCCTCTCTTGTGTCTCATTTTTGTGAGAGTCATTTGTGTTATTGTGGGTAGTTGTAGATCATTCTTTTTAATCTCTGCATAGGACTCATTGTGTGAATAGGCCACAGTTATTCAATGATTTCTTAATTCTACTGTTAACAGGCATTGGGAAGTTTTCAGTTAGGAATTCTTGATTTTTATTTTATTTATTTATTTATTTATTTTTGAGATGGAGTCTCGCTCTGTAGCCCAGGCTGGAGTGCAGTGGCGTGATCTCGGCTCACTGCAACCTCTGCCTCCCAGGTCCAGGTTTAAGCAATTCTCCTGCCTCAGCCCCCCGAGTAGCTGGGATTACAGGCACATGCCACTATGCCCAGCTAATTTTTGTATTTTTAGTAGAAATGGGGTTTCACCCTGTTGGCCAGGCTGGTCTTGAACTCCTGACCTCATGATCCGCCCAACTCGGCCTCTCAAAGTGCTGGGATTACAGGCATGAGCCACCGCACCCCAGCCAGGAATTCTTATAAATTCTACAACTATGAATAGTCCAGGTCCTGTCTTCTGGTGAGCATATTATATACCAGAGAGTTCTTTTTCAAATCACAAAAGTCCAATTGTTCCCCTCTTTCAAATGGTTTAACAGATCCTCATTGCTTTAAAGATAAAGACAAAACAGCCTTCAAGGGTCTAGGGAATCTGGCCTCTGCTGACTTCTCTATCCCAACAACAGGTATCAGAAGCATAACTGTGTGCAGAGACCAGGCAGGGAATATAAATGAGAGAAGTGGAAGACAAGTGGGAAGCAGTAGAGATGGGTGGAGACTATGGCAAATTAGAGAGACAAGAAGTAGAAGATACATATTCTTGGCTGACAGTTGACACATGCAAATCTGGGCCCACTGTGACCAGATTTTCCCCCATTTAAAATATAAGTTGAAAGTTTATATGTTTATGTGAAATCTGCCCATTTTTGAATGATAACCATTTCAAAAATATTTTTCAACAGCACATGAATGTCCCAAAACACACATTTTGAAGGGTAGCGTTTGGCTCTTGAATCTGCAGTTTGGAACCACTGGCCCTTATTTATCCTTCCAGACTCTGAATTCCTATTACCCCCTGCATTGCCTACTGAACTGCTCTTACCTCCTCAAACTCCCCATGTTCTTAACCCTGAGCTTTGCATTTTCTATTTCTTCTGCCTGGAGCATTTTATCCCTTGCAGACTCTTTCGCTCTTAGTCACCATCTTCCATCAGGAAATCCCATCTGAATCCTCGAAGTGAGTAAAGGGATCCTCTGGTACATTCTTAAGGCATTCTGCCTTACTCTTGTCATAGCACCTAAAACAGTGCCCAGGACTTCAACAGGCCAGGCACATAGAAGGTGCTCAACAAATAGTACATGATTAATGACATTTACAGAACTGGAATTGTGTTTACATGTCTATGTCCCCTATAAATAACAAAACAGATCCCTGTCACATCTCTGCTTAAAACCTGCTGTAAACTTCTTAACAATTTCAACAACAAATATTAGAATCTCAAATGGCGACAGGGACGTGGCGAGTAAGAAATGTATAAAGCAGGCTAAGGGGAACGATAGGGAGTCACCGGGACTGTGGCAAACTGAAGAGTGCCTGAAAGATCCTTGACTAATGGGAGAACATCTTAATCTTCATTGCCCATCACAATACCTAGAACATGGTAGGTCCTCATTAAATATATTCTCACTCTAGGTTTTCAAGAGATCAGTGGAACAATTCATATATGGGGTGCAGTATTTCCTACCCACACTCCAGAATGGCATACACCAAGGATAGGGTAATAAAAGGCACATTTGGCAATACAACTGAAGGCAGAGAGAGCAAGAGAGCAGACAGGCTTTTGGCATAATAGCACATCGATAGGTGAAGAGAAACTGAAAGTCATACTTGGAAGATGATGTGACACCATCCCCATTGTCCTTTCCAGAGATGAGCCTGATGGACTTGAATTACTGACAACCCACAGCAGAAGCTGAAGGGGTGAGCAGGTGCCCTGGTTAGGTGAGAAAGAGATGGAGAGAACTGAGCCATGGAGAGGGATGGAGGAGAGAGCCCCAAGATGTGGTCATGAGGCAGGAAGTACCTGGTTATGAGGAACTGGGGTGGTGTTTGAAAGAAAGAGTCCAGGAAGGGTGCCCCTGAGGATGTGCCTTTTGTACTTTGTTAAATAAATAATGAGAAACAGCCATGTCTCAGGCAGAGAGAAGCTCAGGAACAAAGATCCTGGGACAGAAACCGGCTTGGCATTTTGGGGAAACAGAAACAAAAACCAGGGGAACTGGGTGGGTTGAGGCTGGGGAGCCTGGGACAAGGTGGGCTCTGAGCAATGCTCCAGGGCTGGGTGGGAATGCAGCCTCAGTGCCGTTTGGCGGAGTGTGGATTTTACTTTCAGTTAGGCAGGAGCTTGCTCATTCTGAACTCTAGCTCTCTGCTTTGGAGGTGACTCAGCTGCCCCCTTGTTTTTTCTCTGATTCTTGGCTTCTCTTCCTAGTACCATTGCTCACGCTCTTTCCTCCATGCCTGGGCCCCACCCAACCCCACTGAATCATTCTTTCTGGAGGAGGAGCCCAGACTTGTGTAAGTTACTAAAGCTCTGCATGTGATCCTCATGTACATTCAATATAGGGAACCAGTGGATCTCTCTCGCTCTCTCTTTCTCTCCCTGTCTCTCTCTGACACTGTTTCTGTCTCTGTCTCTCTCTCTCCCCCTTTCTGTCTCTCCTTCTGTGTGTGTGTATACATACATGCATACATATATGTATCTGTATATCTATATACACAGTATTTATATACATAATTATATATATGATTATCTACCCATCCATTCACCCCACCTATTATCTGTGTATCTATCTGTCTGTCTGTCTATCTATCTATGTATCTATCTCTATCATCTATCTATCTATCTGTCTATCTATCTATCTATCTAATCTAATCTATCTACGTACCTACCTATCATCTACTATCATATAGCTATCCATGTTTGTTTTATCTATCTATCCATTTTTAATTAAGCAAAAAAGAAAACTTCAAAGAATAGTAAAATGACATCATCTTTATGTCTCTTAGTATAACATTGATATAAACAATAAAAAGGAAACACAAGGAAAGAAAGAATGGGTAGGTCTCACTAAATAAAGACCTCATTTTGTTATCATTTGCAGCACTACAATGATTAATCAGGTACCTGAATATTTTGGCAGATTCATTTGGATTTCCTTAGGAAAAATTTCCATAAGTGGAATTGCTTATTCAAGGAGTATTAAGTTTTAAAAACTTTCAATACATATTGTCAAATTGTTCCCTTAGCACTTACACCAAATCAGGTCTCCCCAATATCATTTATTTATTTATTTATTTTTTAAAAGATAACTAAAAGGCAAGAGACATACTGGAAATAATTTTAGCTACATATATATTCAACAAAGGGTTAAGTGCTCTTTTACATAAAGCAGTCATAGAATAAGCAAAATTCTAAAACCCCAAAGGAAAATAAAATGGAACTGGGACATAAACTAATAAGTGAAAAAGAATGAAAATTTTGCTAATGAATATTTAAAACTATATATATTCACACACATTAGTTACCAGAGAAACACAAGCCATAATTGCAATAACATATTTTACTCTCAAATTTGTGATTAAAACCTACTTATCATTCTTGTGAGAGTGTGATGAAATGGACATTCATAGAATGCTGATGGGAATCTGAATTGGTATAAGCTCTAGGGTAGCATTTTGACACTGCATAGCAAAACTCTTAAAAGCATTCATTTTTCTTAACTGGATGATTCTACTTTTAGTGTTTTTTTCTAAAGAAATAAATATGCAGAAATATTTTGCCATCAGCTAATTCATTGTTGCAAATAATAGCAGAGTTGGTATGACCTTTATGGAAAACAGTATGGAGGTTCCTCAAAAAATTAAAAATAGAGGCTGGGCGTGGCGGCTCACGCCTGTAATCCCAGCACTTTGGGAGGCCGAGGTGGACATATCACCTGAGGTCGGGAGTTCAAGACCAGCCTGACCAACATGGTGAATCCCCGTCTCTACTAAAAATACAAAATTAGCCGGGCATGGTAGCGCATGCCTGTAATCCCAGCTACTTGGGAGGCTGAGGCAGGAGAATCGCTTGAACCCAGGAGGTGGAGGTTGCAAGCTGAGATCACGCCATTGCACTCCAGCCTGGGCAACAAGAGCAAAACTCCGTCTCGAAAAAAAAAAAAAATAGAGCCACCATATGATCCAGAAATCTCACTACTGGTTATACATCCAAAGGAAGTGAAATCAGCGTGTCAAAGAGATCACTGAACTCCCATCTCCCATGTTCGTGGCAGCATTAGTCACAACAGCCAAGTTATGGAAGCAACCTATGCCCACTAACAGAGCAACATATAGATGAAGAAAATGTGGTAGATATACACTGTGGAATAATATTCAGCTTTATTTTAAAAATCCTGTCATTTGTGGCAATGTGCAAGAAACTGGAGGACATTATGCTAAGTGAAATAAGCCAGCCACAGAACGACAAATATTGCATGATCTCTCATTTATATGTGGAATCTAAAAACATTTAACCCATATAAACAGAAAGTAGAATGCTGGTTTTCAGGGGCTAGTGGAGGGGGTGTGGTTGTTGGGGAGATGTTTGCCAAAAGACACAAAATTTCAATTAGATAACAGGAATAAATTCAGAAGATCAGCTTTACAACCGAGTGACTAGAGTTAATGATGTACTGTGTTCTTAAAGAAGAAAAAAATATAATGGCCAAAAAAATTAGAACCTGAATATTCAACAAAAAAGACTGGTTAAATACGTCATAGAATATTACAGCCTGAGAAAATGATGTCATCTATAAAATCCAAGATATAGAAATGATAAGAAAAAAAGACAGTATGCAAAAATGTGCGTACAGAGTGATCTCCATTTAAAACACAGTCACTCCCAGCTTATGCAAGAGTTTTTATTTTGGAAAGTCTTGTGCAATTCAAATTTTGCATAAGTCAAAAAGATCCTTTGTAGTCACTGCATATTTTAAAGTTGCAAAACTTTTGATGTGCCTTTTGTGTGCATGTAATTCGAACTGTCATTCAGATTTTTTCCTTTTTATTGTTGAAGTAGCCAGGGTTCACAAGAAAGGGAGCGAAGAGTTTTTTGAATATCACCCATAGTGTTGGTTGTTTAATCAGTGCTTGGTAAACACTTGTTGGATTTATTTGTAGGAGGCTGTGATGGTTTTACTGATGCTTATCAAATATTTCTGGCTCTTCATCTTTCCCAAATGTAATAGACAATCTCAGCTCTCCTTGCAGTTAGTTAGGGTCATGTGATTAAATCTAGCCAATGAGTTGTGAACTTCTTGATGGGCATTTAATGCCAGTGAGAGATCCACCAGAGATCTTTTTTCCTCTGCTCTTGAGAATGGCAGTATTCCAAATGATAGTTCCTCCATTATCCTTATTCTTAAAGGGAGGATGGCATGGAGCAGAGCCCTCAGCCAGCCTGTGATGAACATGCAGCATGCACAAGAAATGAGCCCTTGTTATTTCAATCCATCAAGATTTGGGGGATGTTTGTTACTGCCACAAATCCTAGCCCCTTGACACTCAAAGAGTGACCTGCAGACTGGCTGCATCAGCCTCATCTGGGGGTTTGTTAGAAATTCAGAATCTTGGACCCTTCTTTCAGACCTGCTGAATCAGGGACTGCATTTTTTTTGTTTTTTTGTTTTTTTGTTTTTGTTTTTGTTTTTTTGAGACAGAGTCTCACTCTGTCACCCAGGCTGGAGTGCAGTGGTGAGATCTCAGATCACTGCAGCCTCCGCCTCTTGGGTTCAAGCGATTCTCATGCCTCAGCCTCCTGAGTAGCTGGGACTACAGGGATGCACCACCATGCCCAGCCAATTTTTGTATTTTTTGGTAGAGACAGGATTTCACCATATTGGCCTGTCTGATCTTGAACTCCTGACCTCAAACGATCCACCCACCTCAGCCTCCCAAAGTGCTGGGATTACAGGCATGGGCCACTGCACCCAGATCTAGGAGCTGCATTTTAATAAGGGGCCTCGGGTGATCTGTGCACATAATAAGAATCCCAGAGTTCTGCTCTAGCCTATCTGGAATGATACTCAGGCGAAGGGAGGCAGAATCCGTGGAAGTTGAGAAGTGTACGCAGAAGCCTGCATTCCAGCAGGTAAGTCACTTAGCTTCTCTGAGTCTCAGTTTTCTCATAGAGATTACAGTGAGAATCCAATAAAAATAACATACACTTCATAATGTATATTTTAAAATAAAATATATTATGTATATTTACTATTATATATATTTACCAATAATGCACATTCAATAATGTACATCATGGGTCCTAGTAAATGCTCAATAAATGATCGTGGGCATTATCATGTCAGAAAGGGTATAGATTGCCAAATGCCGGGACTGGAGTCTTGGCTTTCTAAAGATCTTTTCCATTACCTCTGCAGCAAGAACGACATCTTCTAAAGACTCAAGA
This sequence comes from Homo sapiens, assembly GCF_000001405.40. Classification (NCBI taxonomy): domain Eukaryota; kingdom Metazoa; phylum Chordata; class Mammalia; order Primates; family Hominidae; genus Homo; species Homo sapiens. The sequence continues at coordinate 115,350,202 of NC_000012.12, read as the reverse complement.
TGGCCTCTAATGTAAGGATTCAGTAAATATTGATTAACTAACCCACCCACGATGAGGTTCCTGTCAACCACTTAATCACCTTCAAATGGCATGTTTATTTACTTAATTCTTCTTCTGCCCTGTTTCTGCAGCTTCATGGCCTAATTCCCTGATCCTCCAACCAGGAGGCCTCCCCAGGCCTGAAAGAAGTGTTTGTAAAGGTAAGAACAGCTGTTAGCTTTGCATGCTTTTGTAGGATCAATGTTCTATCCCTCTTATGCCTACAGAGGGCCACTTTCTCTGAGAACTATGGAGAAATTGTTCAGCAGTAGCTAATAAACACACACACACACACACACACACACAAAACACACACACACTCTTTCTATTTCTATCTAAGGCAGAGAAAAGTGAATACCCCAGGGAAAGGACCTGGGTAAACACAATGGTGATTAGACTGTTCACCACTTGCTTTTCCTGGAGAGAACGTCTATAGTATGTTTGTTCATTCCACCCTAAATCTTCCTGTGAGGAAGAAAATGCAGGGATTATTTATCTTTTTGTATTATGGAGAAACTGAAGTTAAGTGGCTCCCTAAGGCCATAGAAGACAGTGCCTACCAGGGCAGTGTTTGGAGTCAGGCAGGCCTGGGGATGAAGCAAGGGACCACCGAGGACGAGCCTGCGGCATCCTGAGTGCAGTATTTAACTCTCTAAGCCTCAGTTTCCACATGCAGCTCCTCCCGGCTGGGAAAGCCCCGCCCCATGCACTCTGTGATGTCGATTTTGAGTTGTTTTTAAAATGAAGGGGTTGGATGCAATTATCTTTACAGAACTTTCCCATGCATGGAGCGTTAACTCATCTAATCTTCCTAATGAGAAGAAGAAATTGAGACAGAATCAGAGAGAAGAAATATAGGGGAAGAGAGAGAGAGAAAGAGAGAGAGAGGGAGAGCTGCTTATGGGAAACAGCATTTCATCCTTTATTAATAACAACCACATAAACCCAAACTACACTCAAAAAACTGAAGCCCACTATGAGAAGGAAATGATGCTGAATCTCTGACACGGGGACCAGCAGTCCCAGTTTGCCAGGGACTAAGGAATTCCTAGGACATGGGACTTTCAGTGCTAAAAGTCCCAGGAAACCCAAGGTGAGTTGGTCACCCTCATCTTTGATCAGGCCACAGAGATTACAAACTGGCCCAGAAAAGGTGGCATTTCAGGGAATGCTGGGGCATATGTAAAAGAGAGTGTGGCTAGAAATTTCAAGAGAGGAATTGAAAATCTCCATGGGCACCCACCACCCTCCTTCCTCATGCATGGCCTTGTCTGAGCTGAGGTTTGCAAGGGTGGGGTTGCTGGGCCAGGGGTTGGATCAATTTTTGGTAGGAGAGGGAGGTGGAGAGAGAATGGGAGGAATTGAAGCACAGAAGCTCTTTAGAAGGTAGACACCAACTAGCAAAACTCTAAGAATACATTCAAAATTGGAAATCATGAATGTATCACAAGACATTTTTTAAAAAGATGGGGATCATGTAATTATAGAGGAGACGAAGGCTTGCTTTTCCCTGGCATTCCCTTCTGGCAGGGAAAGAAACCAACAGGGCAACTTCATCACGCTGATTCCTTCACGCTCTGGCAGGCAAGTGATAAAATTATCAGATGAGGGTCCCCAGTCTCGTCTCCTACAGCCACTTTCGCCAAGTGTGCCGTGTCTAAAATAATGAAGGTGGCCTGATTAAATGTTCCCTGGCTGCAACCGCTGTGCTAATTTGGAGATGGGCTTATTAGTTTAATGACCGCTCCAAATCATCAGAATTCATTAGCGTTAGTGCCGCGGCTTCATCCGACCTCAGCCCAAGGCTCCAGGCTGCCACCTTCGCCGTCGCCATGTCTCTATTTATATCACCCCTACTTCTCGGGGAGGACAGTGTGTGTGTGCGTGTGTGTGTGAGAGAGAGAGCAGGCACGCATACACGTGTATATGTGTGTGTACACATGCCAGCACCACAACTGGGACTTTCTATGCACTTTATCTGCGTAATGATTTTAGCTTTTCTTCCCCCAAAGAAAAGTTGTTGTAGCCTTTTTCTGTTTTTAACACCTCAATACATGTGCAAAGAGGGGCTCCTAAAGTGCTTTGGTGAAATATTCTTTTTCATTAGACTAAGGAGGGGAAAACCCAAATTGCTTACAGTGACCCACAGGCTCTACCTGGCCACCTACCCTCCACCTGCTGGGGGGTATCTGATTTCATCTCCTGCACAGTTCTTTTCCTCACTCTCCTCCAGAGGCACAGACTTCCCATAATGCTCCTCAAACATACCAGGCATGATTGCCACCTCAGGACCTTTGCACTCACTGCCTCCTCTGCCTGAAACTCCTTCCCGAGATGGCATCATGGAATACTCCCTTACCCCCAATTGTTGTTCAAATGTCACCTCGGGGAGGCCTATTCTGGCCATCTTATTTAAAATCATAACCTCCCTAATACCTCCCCCTCCACTTCACTCTGCCTTATTTATTCCTATCAAATACACTATGTAATTTACATACATATCATATTTAATGCCTGACCCCCCCTACACACACTGTGTCACTGTTGCCTGTTTTGTCTACTGTTATATTCCCAGTGCTTAGAACTACCAGAGAGTTGGTGCTCAATACATAGTTGTTGAATGAATAAATGAATGATCCCATAAATGCATGAATGGTGTCAATATACAAGGAAATAAGGATCACCGTGGACTCAGCGGAAGTCTTTTATAGATTGCCTTTCAGCTGAGCTGTCACCGGTGGTGTTACTTGGCACAGATGAAGGTGAACAGGCCAATGTAATTCTCTCTCTTTCTGTAAGTTAGCTGGGAGGACACTGAGTGGCGGTGACAGGGAAGTTTGGGAGCTAAAAGGTTGTACAGAGAGATTGTGTGGGGCAAAGCTAAGGCCGGAGGAACCATGGTAACTTGGAAGATGCAAGGAAGGAGGTGCTATAAGGGACAAGGAAGATATACAGGTGAGGAAATGAGGAAGACACTCAAACGTGAAAAGTGAATAGAACTGAGTTACATTAGGAGAGTAAAGGTCTCCAAATGACTGGCCCTGGATATTTACTCCAGCAACATTGTAGCTAGTGTCACTTTCCAAGAGGTTTTTCTCTACTTTGCTTTTGTTTGGGGTGTTCTATGAGATTTTCCCTTTCATATCTCTCTTTCTATCCACCACCCTCTTGGGGTTATAAAGTAGGTTGTTAGACAACAAAAAGACCCTTGCTAAAATATAGGGGCTGAGAATTCTAACTTGTATTTGACTTGATTCTTCTTTTTCTCATCTGTAAAATGGGTCAGCTGTAGGTCAAATACTAGTGGTCTCCAGAAACATAGCTTAACCCTTCTAGGAACAGAGAGGTCTACAGATCTCTGCCCCTGTGGGTTCATACAAAGAAAAGGGGTATAATGAGAGATGGGGTATAATGCAGAAAGATGTTTTTGAGTGCAATTGCTTTGTCTTTAAAATAAACTTTTAATTATGACAAAAGCGATAAGGATTCAATGTAGAAAACATGGGAAATGCAGAGATAATAAGGAATATTTTGTTCCTTGGAGTATTTTGCTCCTTCCTTCCTTCCCTCCTTCCTTCCTTCCTTCCTTCCTTCCTTCCCTCCCTCCTACCTTCCCTCCCTTTCTCCCTCCCTCCATTCTTTCCTTCCTTCCTTCCTTCCCTCCCTCCCTCCCTCTTTCTTTCCTTCCTTCCTTCCTTCCTTCCTTCCTTCCTTCCTTCCTTCCTTCCTTCTTTCTTTCTTTCTTTCCTTTCTTTCTTTCTTTCTTTCTCTTTCTTTCTTTCTTCTTGACAGAATCTCACTCTGTCGCCCAGGTTAGAGTGAAATGGTGCAATCTTGGCTCACTGCAACCTCCACCTCCCGAGTTCAAACAATTCTTCAGCCTCCCGAGTAGCTGGGATTTCAGGTGCCCACCAACACACCCAGCAAATTTATATATTATTAGTAAAGACGTGGTTTCGCCATGTTGGCCAGGCCGGTCTCGAATGACCTCAAGTAATCCAGCTACCTCGGCCTCCTAAAGTGCTGAGATTACAGGCCTGAGCCACCATGCCCGGCCTTTGGTCCTTATTTCTGCAAAGATTATCTGCCATGAGTATTCCTTGATTCTAAGGTACACACATGCTCTCCTGATGTCTGAGATCAGGACACATCTTAAAATAAAGGATAGGTACATATATTTAATATTTCACACCACTCATCTCATACCCCTCTAAATAAAAGAGGACATCAAATCAATATTGAATCTTATAATGAAAATCATCTTAGATGAAAATATAACACTCTCTCTCTTTGTCTCTCTCTTAGAAAAATGGCATCGTGCTCTTTGCTGGTCTGCTTTTTTTCTCACTTCATTTTAACCACACCAATATCTGGAGCTTTGGCCAAACAACTTGGCTTCTAGAAAATGTGGTAGGGAGTTTTCAAATGAATGTGAGTTTTGCCCTTCCCTTTAACTCTCTAAATTGGTTTCTTAGGAATTAATTCCATAGTTCTTTCTCTAGATAATGTTTAAAAAATATCTTCACATGAAAAACACAATCCCTTTTTTTTTTTTTTTTTGAGATGGAGTCTTGCTCTGTAACTAGGCTGGAGTGCAGTGACTCAATCTCAGCTCACTGCAACCTCTGCCTCCCAGGTTCAAGTGATTCTCCTGCCTCAGCCTTGCAAGTAGCTGGGACTATACGCCCGCACCACCACACCTGGCTAATTTTTGTATTTTTAGGAGGAATGGGGTTTCACCATGTTGACCAGGATGGTCTCGATCTCCTGACCTCGTGATCTGCCCGCCTTGGCTTCCCAAGGTGCTGGGATTACAGGCGTGAGCCACAGAACCCGGCCGATCCAATCTTAAACTTATAACTTATGAGTTTTGTGACTTTACACAAGAGTCTTAATCTTTCTGGACTTCACTTTTTTGATCTGCATAATGGGAACAGTAATAGGACCCTTCTCCGTGGGGTATCTGAAAGGATTATATGAGGTAATGGATGTAAACAGCACTTATGAAAACACATAGCAAGTATTCCATAAGTGGTGGCAATATTAAAAGGTTAAAAATTTGAAAAAAAACATATAAACACAAAGAGAAAAATAACAATGATCTGCAATTTTGTTACTTAAAATGAAAACTACCTTTTAATTTATATTCATCCACATTTTCTGTACATTCTTAAGTATTATATATACACCCAGACACACACAGGCATGCACTTATATGTCCATAAAAGTGAGATGAAACTGTATATATCTTCCAGTAAACAACTTTTCCCATTCTCCAATAAAGTATAAATATCTTTCCAGGTCAACTCCCTTAGATCTTTTAAATTCCAAGAACAAAAGATAAAAGAAGCTCTACCAAAATACAAACAACAAGCAACAACAACAACAATCTTCCTACCTTGATGTGTACGTCTGTAATTGTGGTGTTAAAGTTGTGTAGGGAAAAAGGGAGAAAGCTTCATTTGTCTTCCTCCAGCTTGAGTTGATAGTTGGTGATTGGACTAATGGTCCCATGTACTGTTGTAACTTCAGGAACCGCCGTGAAGCAAGGATTCATCAAAGAGGGGAAGCGAGAGGATTTTGTTTGCTTATTTAATAAAAAAAATTAAAAAAATAGAGATTTCCTTTAGCTTGGAGGTATGGTTTAATTAGAATGGTTTTCTCCTGGGTTTTTGTGCCCTCATTCTCCACCTCTCCTCCATAAAGCCTGCCTGAGAAATGCCTTCTTAAATATGAACAAAATCATCCTAATTATTTAATCTACTCTTATGGAACACAGCACGTGGAAGAATGCGCCCTCAGTTTGACCTTCTGTGGTAGAGGAAAAGAGAGAAAGTCTAGATTTAAAAAAACAAACAAACAAATACAATGACAAAAAGCTCTTCTTTACTTTGACTGTTTTGCTCTTGTCTGCTTAATTTCTCTTAACTGTGGGCTCCTTGAGGGAAGATACCCCATCGGATTTCTTTGTGCACCCTCAGAACCTCCCTAACACAAGGTACAGATCTCGGAAGGTATAAGTGAATGGATAAATGAATGTAAGAGGGAGTGATTTGCAAAATCATTGCCAGCTTTGCTATTTTTCTTTTCTCTTAGACACGATCAGTAATAGAAGACTACTACATTTTATTCGTCTAAGGAAGGGATGTTCTTAAACTTAGGTTTCCTCTACCTTCTTTCCTCAGAAAGAAAAAACAATAAAGATTCCTATGAGGAAATTATAATAAAGAGGAGGCCATACACAGTGTTACATAACTCAAATTGCAAACTGTGATTGGTTTTGGTAGGGAGGCGGGATTTGGGGGATGAGGAAGAGACTTCCTGCCAACAAGCTCCTCACATTTCAGTGCCCTAGGTAATCATCCACTGGAAATCCTCTTAAAGCCCACGTTCATGCATTCCACATTTAAAATGCATAAAACTTTTGATGATTCAAAAAGGCTCTGCGAGGTTGATGTGGTGGTCAGGGCCATGTGAATCCTAGGTCATGTGAATCCTCATACCCCATAATATGTCTCGAGGGATTTCTCAAATCCCATGTTTACGAAAGTGAGCCTTATGCCCTTCTGTACACTTATACATGTTTAAAGGATCGTCTTGAAGTGTGAAGAAACAAAGGTGTGGGAGTCAGAGCCCATTTCATTGTCTATGGAGCCAGGATCCCAGCAGAAAAAAAAAAAATTCGTTCAGCTGTTTAACTGAGAGACATTTCCATAAGGGCTATTTACAGAATTGTGAGCTGAGTTAGGAGAACCAGAAATGGATGATGAAGCACCATCAGGGACTTCTAACAGCAGGAAGTTGTCACCAACCCTGGAACACAAGGGGCAGTGGGAGGAAAAGGACCCTTGGAGTCCAGTGAAAGCTGGAGCCATGGAGGTGAGGTCACCCAGTGAGTGATGTAGACATGGGGAGCCACAAACCCTTTCAGATATATAATACAGAAGCAGAGAGGGAGTAGAGGCATTGATACCCAAGCTCTCTCTCTTGCCACCCTCAGTCTTCTGCTGGTGTTTATCATTGGTCAAACCCAACTGAAAGCCGGGGTAAGGGAACATGAGTTTCATAGTCTGTGTGCATCACAAAGAGGGCAGAGCAAGGTAGAGAATTAACCTTCGAGATGGAATTGGAGTTAGAATAACCAGCATCCTTGATTCAAGGTGGTAAAAGGGAAGACAATGCTACCTGCCTATTTGTTAAGGAGACTGAGTTGACAGGAACAAAGTTTATCGGGTGATATTCCCATGCAGAATCAACATAGAAGCTCCTCATTCTTTGGCAAGAAATGTTCCCTCCAATTGTATATATTTGACATTGGTCGGAGTGATGGATGGAGAGAAAAAAATAAAGGATACTAGGTCCTTGGTGTGTTGTTTCACGTGAAGACCACAAAGATTTTCTAGCGGAGAGATGTATTCTTATGGTAACCAGTTTCTAATAGTCCTATCCTTGTGTAGTTCCCTCCCACATTATACCAGGGTTGGTCTCACCAATGGCATACAGCGGAAGTGATGGTGTTTCACCTCTGAGATTAGATAACAAAAGAAATTGCAGGTATATTATCTCTCCCCCATCCCCCCCTTTCCTGCTCTCCTTTTTTCTTCCTCCCTTCTCCCTCCTCCCTGCTCTCTTCTCTCCTCTCTGTCTTTCAACTGATCATGGTGGGGGGCGGGGTGGGGGGCAGGTGGGGGGAGCTATTTTGGGAGCAGCCCTGAAGAGAGACCTACATAGTGAGAATCTGAGACTTCCTGCCAACAGCCACATGAATAAGCATTGAAATGAATTTCCCCCAGTCAAGCCTTCAAATGAGACGACAGCCCATCTGACTACTTGACTGCCATGTCATGAGAGACTCTGAAGCAGAACCATGCAGTTAAGCTGCTTCCAGATTCTTGACGTTCAGAAACTGCGAGCTAACTTTGAGGTTAAATGCATTTGCTCCTTTTCAGTAATGATTTGTAACATGCATTTATTTTGTGCTTATTTTAATCTTTCACAAAGCCTGGGATTCACACTCTCTTAACTGTGTAACAAAGTCCTTGTCTAGCCTCTGAGACTCAGTTTCTTCAATTTTCAGTGAAGATCACAATAATCCTATCAAAAGGGTTGTCCTGAGGATCAAATTGTTGTCCAAAATACTTATAGTATTCTAATTCCCTTAGGACAGTGCCTAAAACAGAGTAACTACTTAACAAACTTAGTTGTTATCATTAAAGAGGGAGAAAAATGGGTTTCAAATACTATTTATAATTAAGATCATGGCACCAATGAAACCTGAGATTACAGTTCACCATTATTGCATGGTCTATTTCAGCTCTGTTATTTCTCTTGCCTCGAAGACAGTTCTGTTCTCTCACAATTGCTGCAATGCACAGTTTCCCAAAACAACATGCAGTTCTGCCAACCTCAGAGGCCTGGAGCTTTGAAACATCCCCCTCCTGACCATGGAGAATTGGCTGTCTCCACTCGCGCCTCCTTGGCAGAAGGGGAATCCCTGATTTTCTGGACATGCTTTGTCACTCCCTGGGTGTGAGCCAGATCTTGCTCATGATTTCCATTCTCTAATGACTCGGGGATGAGCATGTGACTGAGTCATAGGGAGCCGGTGGGGTGTGGGTGGCTGTATGGTGTTTATACTGAAATCACAGGGGGTTGGGGCTTCATAGAAAATAGCAACAATGAGTAGATGACCGGTTCAGATGTGAGTTCAGCAAACCACCAAGGCACATGTATACCTATGTAACAAACCTGCATGTTCTGCACGTGTATCCCAGAACTTAAAGTATAATTTGAAAAAAGAAAAAAAAAAAAGAAAATAGCAACAATGAATAAGGAGTCAGAGCAGCTCACCCAAGCTCTGTCATGTTTCACACTTAACCTGGGAAAATTCACCAACTTTCCTTGTTGCTAAAAACTGCCAAGTTTTTCAATCAGTAAGCGCATCTTCTTTCTCTCTAAGAATGATGTCAAGAGCACTATTAGTAGCTTTTGTCTTGAAGCTTGAGCTGGCCTTCATGACAATCTTCCCACTTTGGCAAGAGAGTACATCCATTTTAGTTTTCAACTCTCCCTTACTCCCCAGAAGCAGGTAAAAAGGAAAAGCAGCAGTGAAAATAGTAGCTGTCATTCTGTGTCAATTACCCTCCTAGGCATAGAAATCTCTGACTGGAAAAGAATGGAAGAAAATTGCCAAGTGGACAGAAGGTTGAATCCCAGTATTTTCTCTCCAAAGCAATTCACCTTTCAGACTACACATATTCAAAGAAGCATATGGGCCGGGTATGGTGGCACATGCCTGTAATACCAGCACTTCGGGAGGCCGAAGTGGGGGTATCACATGGGGTCAGGGGTTTGAGACCAGCCTGGCCGACATGGTGAAACCCCATCTTTACTAAAAATACAAAAATTATCCAGGTGTGGTGGCATACACCTGTAATGTCAGCTATTCTGGAGGCTGAGGCAGGAGAATCACTTGAACCGAGGAGGCAGAGGTTACAGTGAGCCAAGGTTGTACCACTGCACTCCAACCTGGACGATAGAGTGAGTGAGACCCTGTCTTAAAACAAACAAACAAAAGCATATGTACAAGCACATATTTAGAGTCATGCTGTTTACAATAGTGAAAAATAGGAAGCTACAAAAATGACCATCTATTCGTGACTAATTCAACTCATTCATATACTTTCAAAAGTGGTATACTCTATAACCATTAGCAAGAATATGCTATATTTATTTGTATTATATACCCAAATTATAAATCATTCTACTATAAAGACACATGCACACATATGTTTATTGAGCCACTGTTCACAATAGCAAAGACTTGGAATCAACCCAAATGCCTATTAATGATAGACTGGATAAAGAAAATGTGGCACATATACACCGTGGAATATTATGCAGCCATAACAAAGAATGGGTTCATGTCCTTTGCAGGGAAGCCATCGTTCTCAGCAAACTAATACAGGAACAAGAAAGCAAACACTGCATGTTCTCACTCATAAGTGGGAGTTAAACAATGAGAACACCTGGACACAGGGAAGGGAACATCACACACGGGGGCCTGTCAGGGGTTGGGGGGCAAGGGGAGGGAGAGCATTAGGACAAATACCTAATGCATGCGGGACTTAAAAACCTAGATGACGGGTTGATAGGTGCAGCAAACCACCATGGCACGTGTATACCTATGTAACAAACTTGCATGTTCTGCACATGTATCCCAGAACTTAAAGTAAAATTAAAAAAAGATAAATAAATAAAAAACAAACAAAATCACACAAAGGAATGTATAAAATATCTATAAGTGAGCCACGTCACAGTATAATAGGAATAGTGTAGTTCCATTTCTGTTTTGAATTATCCTCTGAGTGTGTATCTGCATATATTTATTCGAATAAAAAATGTAGGTGTCTGGAACGTTACACACTAAACTATTAACAGTAATTGGGGGTGGCCTGGTTTTGGGAAGGATCAGAAGAAAAACAGCTTTTACTCTCTAAAAATCTCTAAAATTCTACACTGTTTGAAATTCTAACAACAAACATATTTGTGGATGACTTTTAATTACTTTTTATTAACCAGCTTAAAAACGGAGAGGTATAAGACATGGTACCCTGGGTTTCTTCTAGTTTCTCTGCAACAAACTAGTTATGAACAACTAGCTAGTTTTGGAGAGAGGCCCAAAGTATAGGAGAAGGGGAAAAAATGAAGGGATGTGGGAGAAAGAAAAGAAGGAAACTGGACAGTGGGAAGAGAAAATAACTACACGAGTATAGTCCAACAGGAACTATGGAAGAATTCTAAAACTCTAGACTCACCTGGAAGTTTGCTGAAAGACAAAGTTGGGGCCCTAGCCCTGGAGATCTTGAGTCAGTCGGTCTAGAGAGGACAAGGGAAACTGCATTTTAATGCTTCTCCCAGGTGTCTCTCATTAGAAACCATAAACAATGGGGTTAAGGCCCAGCTCCGCAACCACTGCCTCTGCAACCTTGGACAGGCTGCTTGACCTCTCTGTCCGTTTGTTCCCTCATCTATAAAAAGAATTCCTTACACTCTCATTCTCAACTGTGAGTTTGTATCACAATAGCCTGGAGGGCTTGTTAAAATGCAGATTTCTGAATCTCTCTTTCTGCAAATTTCTGAGTCATTGGGTCTAGCAGTGAGCCCGATAAATTTGCATTTTGAACAAGTTCAAGCGCTGTGGATGCTGCTGGTCTGGAAATCACTTTTGAGAACCAGGACTTTACCA